>NC_000003.12:116735877-117038907 GCF_000001405.40 Homo sapiens
GAACAGGTGTATTTACCCAAAGACTGTACACCATTGTATCTGGAAGTAACTAACTTGTTTTTGATTTTACAGGCTCACAGGCAAAGGGACTTGCCTTGTCTCAGATGACACTTTAGACTTGGACTTTTGTATTAATGCTGGAATGAGTTAAGACTTTGGGAGACTGTTGAGAAGACATGACTGTGTTTTGAAATGTGAGGACATGAGATTTGGGAGGGGCCAAGGGTGAAATTATATGATTTGGCTGGGTGCTACCCAAATCTCATCTTGAATTGTAGTTCCCATAATCCCCATGTGTCATAGAAGGGACCTGGTGGGAGGTAATTGAATCATGGGGATGGTTACCTCCACGCTGTTCTCATGATAGTGAGTGAGTTCTCACAAGATCTGATGGTTTTGTAAGGGGCTTTTCCCTCACTTTGCTCTGCACTTCTTCTTCCTGCTGTCATTTGAAGAAGGACGTGTTTGCTTCCCCTTCTGTCATGATTGTAAATTTCCTGAGGCCTCCCCAGCCATGTGAAAATGTGAATCAGTTAAACCTCTTTCCTTTATAAATTACCCAGTCTCAGGTAGTCCTTTATAGCAGTGTGAGAATGGACTAACACATCCTGTCTATATTCCATACCACCAAAAATCCAAATCTGGTCATGTCCCTTTCTCTCTTAGAACCTTTTAGTAAAGGTCATGACTACAAACATTTAATAGGTGTGATAAAGAGACCTTGCTATGATTCAGCCTCTATACATCTCTACAGCCTAATTTTTCTGTTATTTTGAGCTCAATCTCAATGTAAACTTCTTTTCCAAATCACAAGTTTCATTATGTATTAATGCTCCTACGTATGTTCATCTTTAACAAAGAAAACCATTCTTCAAGTTGCACACTCCAACTCATCTTTTAAGACCAAGCCCAAGATCTGCCTCTTCTAATAGTTATATTGTTCTTTTCTCAGATGGACTTCACAATGCTCATTTCTACTGTTTCCTATACGTACTGAGTCACAGCACTATACATTCATTGTATTCATTTTTACATATTTCTACCCTGTGTTGGACCTTGAGCTCTTAGACAACAGGGAATATATATAATTTGTCTTGCAACTTGAAAGCCCCTCAATAGTGGGGAATGCAAACACTTAAGTGAATGAAGAACTATGAGTTTGAATAGAAATATAAAACAGTGAGACTGTAGAAGGACCATAACTGTTTAAAATATATAAAAACGAGAATATAGACTCATTATAAGTTCATGAACAAGGAAGTGACAGGATAAAATTCCTTGTTAAGAACTTTTGAATCTAATATCAACATTAAGATGCTTGAAAAGGAGAAGAGGCAAGGTCTATGAATTAGGAGGCCGCTGAAGGGGTAAGATAGAAAAAACAAAACATCTATCCCAAGGCAACAGTCTGAATTAGTTGCCCCCATCGTATTTCTTCATGTCATTGTACTTATAATGCTTGAAGACCTCCTTTTCACTTCTCCAACTCTCCCATCAGACTATAACCTTCCAAGGCAGGACTGGATATTATTTGTCAGCATGATGCAAATATTTGCCACAGTCTCTGATAAATGGCAGATATACAAAAATTTTGCATGAATGAGTTAAGAAGGAAAACAAAAGCTCAGGTTAGGGTAATGGCAGTGGGAAGAAAAAAAAGAAAGACAGTGTAAAATTTCAATGGAAGATTTTCTGCCATGGTGGCTCAGTCTTGCTTCTTGGTGTTCTAGGCATGGGCTTAATGCTTATTTATTAGATGCTTTCTCTTCATTCTGTCAGGCTGTCTTCCCTTTTTTGCTCTTGATTGCTAAATATCTTCCTCAGTGCTTGGCTGGCTTTTTGGTAAATAAGCATTCAATAAATTCTGACTGAACTATATTCTAGGGCTATGCTTTTGACAGCCACTCTTCCTACTAATCAATCCAAGACACTTCCTTAAAATCTATACTTATTTCCCACCATATCCATGTTCCTTTAAAATGATTTCCTCTGCTCATTTCTAACCCATGACATTTGCTTTGATAGCAGCACCCACCACTGCATCTTCCCAACCCCACATGTTCACAGTGCCCTTTAACTCAAACTGTGAGTAAATACCCGGCACTTCCAGGTCCTTCTCTATTCGGCCTCTTCTAAAAGTGTCACTTATCTTGAAAATCTGGGCCTTAACTCTATGATCCCTGAATCCCCACCTATATATTTTTACTTGACACTAACATATTCTCATGACCTGGTCAGAAAGCAAAGCCTCAAGTGTTGAATTGTGTGACTTCTGACCATGTCGGAGTTTGCTGTTGCTGTGTATTTGCTCTAGTACAACGAGAGCTATCAAATTGCCTTATATATCTATGCATACATATTTATGTCTATATGTAAACATATACAGTTTTAATGTATTTTAATGTATTTTTCTGATAATTAAAGTTATATATAATTATTAAAACAAACTCAAACTCTACAGATAAATTATAATAAAAAATATTATCTGAAATTCCAGCATTCAGAGATAATAATTGTCAACATTTTGGACACTTTTCTTGACAATTTTTTTCATGTTCTATACATATATATACATACATATATACATATACATATATATATAAAATATATAAATTACATACATAACCGTATTCCCAAATTAGATCACAGTACTTATTCAGGCTTTGGAATTTGTATTTTTTACAACAATTTAACAATGTATTATGAAACATTTCTCATGATAAATTATAAATATATACCTAAATCATAATTGTTAAGTGCCGCTTAGCATGGTGTTATATCAGTATTTAATCAATCAGTGCTAATACCTTAATATTTTGTTAGTTTTTCTCTCTCTCTGCTTTTTAATATTACAGTCTATGCTATGATACTTATTCCTGCATATATATCTTGGTGCTCTTGTCTGATTAGATGGTTTGGACAAATTCCATGAGGCAGAACTTCTAATCCAATGATCCATAAGATTTTTAAATTCTAAATGCCTGGCTATTTTAGTAACTTCCTTTCTCTCCAGGCCCCCTGATAGCAAAAGACTAAGGCCAGGCATCTCTGTGGGTTGCTATCTAGTACCAAATAGCTGATCTGAAATAACACCTTTAAAAACTAGAATTTGATTTTTATAGTGACTAATACTGCTTATTATGGATCTTTTTTTTTGGTGTTTTAACTACATGAACTGAAGAAAGTTTAGAAGGATTGAAAAGTATATACTTAAGTAATTTAATAATAAAAGGGCTAGTTGTATTTTTCTTAATCAAATAAATACATTTGGATAGGGCATGGGTTGTGCATATTAATAATAGCAAATTTTATGGAGAGTCCTTCTAAATACTACTTTCAAACAAAAACTGTTACCTGTGGTGCCAAATGTAGTCAGTCTTGCTTGATGGCTTTTAGGGCCAAGTAGGAAGCTGCAAACTGAGGGACCTGAGCACTGAGCGCAATCGTCAATTAAAGAGCACAGAATTGGGTCTTGCACATAGTATGTTGCCAAATCATTCGCAGATAGAATTAATTACTGCCACGTTTCTGACACATTTATTGAATCATATGCAGAAAATCAAAGTCGAAGATAATGACAATATTTTCAGTACATCAAAATAGGATCTTAAACAATGAATATAAAGTAAGATACAAATAAGAAGAAAAAAAGAAAAGCACCACTAAAACTTAAATCTCAAGTACACAGATGTCAGGAATTTTACATTTCTGGCGCCTATGGTGACTATAATTTGGCCCCATTGTGCATATATAATAATTCAGAACTAAGTACAGATTTGATAATATGAAATGTGGCATATGCTCAAGGGGAGAGGAGTTATGGTTGCTGTGGGAAACGGAACTCTGAATTTCCTGATTTTTGTGTTGTGAAATCTCAGCCATCAGGTTACATTAGCATCATTTTCTACATTTAATAATAGATTGCTCCATTGTTGCTTTCAAGAGAGAAAGGCTTTTCCCCCTTCTCCTAATGTATTTAAAGTGATGGAATTTATTTTAAATTGAATTAACCAGGAAACACAGGTTCTTTATCAGATACAAATGAGAAACAATAAGCCCATATTCTGCCTCCAATTAAACAATTTAATCGAAATAATAGCTAAAGAGTTCTCAATTTTTTTAAATGTGAAATATATATTAAGTGGGTTGACAGACATAACACCTATAAATTATCTTATTCAAAAGATGTTATAAGCATGTTACTTTAAAAATCTTTCAGATAAAACTCTTTCCCCTAATGGTTACCCATAATACCAGATTCTGCAGTGATAAGCATGCATTGTCTGATTCTTTATACAAAGGAGTCCACTATGTTCGTGACTGCATTTCTAATCGTCACCAACTTCTTCCTTATCCTCAAAATAGTCTTTCTAAGTTGAGAAAACTGGGGCTCAAAAAGGTTAAGTAAATCACTCACAGTCAAAGAAAAAGCTGACATTGAACTCAGCCAGGTCTGTTGGACCCCAATATCCAAGCACTTTCTATTACACCTCATAATCACCTGGCCTGCCTTCTTGTGCATGGCCTAACTCAAGTGTCTATATCACTGAAGAGAGATAATTGTAATAATGATCACCATCATCACACTCTACGGTCTTGGCACTACTGATATTGATGAGTTAGCAGAAACACATCTACACAAGAAAGTAGAAACTTTTGGGGTTTAATACCTACATTACAAATGAGTTAGGTTGAGGAAGAACTAATCTATTTTGTACTATCGAAATAACAGAGGATTTACTATGTGCCAGGTGCCATTCCAACAAAATTACAATATCAACACATCTCATTCTTATTACAACACTATGATACAGTTATTATAATCATCCTAATTTTACAGATTAGAACTTTAAAGTTCAGAGAGGTTAGGCAACATGCTGAAGTCCTCACAGCTATAAAGTGGTAGAACAAGGATATGACCCTGGATTGTTTGGCTTCAAAGTTGATGCTCTTAACCACCATAGAAGAAGACGAACATGTTGTTGAGTACAAAGAGAGAACTGCACGTGGACAAGTGTATGCCTTTTCTCTGTTTGTCCTTGCCCAGTCATATAAATATCCCCACAGAGAAATTCTGTGCTTCCTAAAGATAACATAAGTTCTTGAAGAAAAAAAAAAAAAAAAGTACCGGCTAATTTTGACCAACACTTGCACCTATAAAAAAATACTTTTTAAAGTATCACTTTTTCAGTCCTTCTGTTGCTAGTGATTCCATAAGCTGCTCCCAAACCATTTTTATATTCCACTTGTTTTCATAGTCTCTAATTGCCCATCCATTTCTCTTGCAGTGTACTTTATTGTAAATCCTCCTATTCTGCTTTCTTAAAAAGTGTGACTATCTTGTCACCATCATCTTAGAACACCCTATTATGCCTTAATTGGATTACTTAATTGTGTCTCAGCCTTTTCTTCTGTAAGTTTAAATGCCTCCGTGGATCTCTAGCTTCCTCGAAGAGACTTATTTTGCAGAAATGTTCCCAGGTATTAGAAAATCATAATGGTAAATCAAGCAATATACCCTAATTCAAATTATTATCATCTTAGTACCAAGGAATAAGTTACTTTCTTCCTTAAATATTAAAACTTATTAAGTCTTAGAAAGGAAAAAGGGAGGAATAATCCTTAATTTTTACAAAATTTTAATGATTCTAAAGACCCTGGGAAGCAGCCCCTATTCCCTTCCTCCCACCCTTCCCAATTTTCCAATTCATCACTTGAATTAACCTCCTAAGCACTAGAGCCATCAGATAGCTGAGGCACTATCTGGTCCATCAGTGGAGCCCAGCCAGTCTGATGAGGCAACACCAAGCAGTGAGCTCGGGGCCTCAGCTGTGTGAGCTTTGATAAGCTGAGTGAGAGCCTCATGCATACACTGCAAGCAATTGAAACTGCAAAAGGGCTTCTCTCTCCTCATTCCTCTTTCTTATTCCTCCAAAGTTGAATAAAAATGATTTGATAAATTATTCTTTTCAGATCTAGACACTCAAGGAAAAAAAAATAGAAGGAAAGGAGAAGAAAAAGGAAAAGTCGCACTTGAGAACTCATTATTAGCATGAATTCCCAGCACTCCAGCAATCATTACAGATCCACACAAGAGGGAAAGCAATGGAATAAAAGGAAAGAAAGGAGTTTTATCTCAATGCATGCAGGAAAGAGGGAAATGTTCTCCATAGGTTTAGAGACTTGTAGGCATTAGAATCCCTGTTAAGACTTGTTCTTTGAAAGGCAAACCTTCAACCCTAAAATCTAACTCAAACCTTGAATGGAAGGAATAAGCCTCTGCATTCATCACTAAGGCAAGTAGTGTGCCCCAAAGCCTGGCCAGGGCAATAACTTATGAGCAAGTTAGAGCTGAGGATATCAAGTCAAATAACCAAGACCGCATTGTGAGAAGAAAAAAAAAAAGGGGGGAGAGAGAGAGAGAGATCTGGAGTTTAGCAGGGACTCTGAGGACAGCTGCAGACTGCCAGACAAGAATTAAAAAAAAAAAAAAAAAAAAGGCGAGGCAGGGTTGGAGAAAAATAGTAAGAACTTATGGAATAAGTCAAAGCATACATTTAGCAGTTTCTCAATAAGTAAATGTTGCGTAAATTAAAAATTTTATTGTAAAATTTATATATAGAAAAGTTAGATTTACGCAGTCTCTATTGTGTGAAGATAAAGATATGCCTTAGATCCCCAAACTACTGAAGATAGCATAACCACCACTAAAACCATCAGCCAAAGTTGAAGAGCTAAAAAACTAGTAAATTCCATTGCCTCTGAAAAGAAATATGGAGGAAAATCCTTGGATGCTAATCTTAACTCTGAGCAGGATTGTTAATAATTGGAGGCACTTAACCAGAAAGTTTGATTAATTAGATATCTGATATAAAAGCAAATGACAATTGTCATTTAGCAATTATGAGTGGACATTATGATATTATGCCATATCGGGAATTTTTTCCCCCAAACATTTCTCCTACTCTGTCTTCAACAAAATGTCACCTAACCAATCCTATCACTCCTCTGGACTTAAGGCAAATAACATTAGAATTATATTGCTTTATCTGACCCAGTGGAATTGTGACACTTCATGAAACAGTGATGAAAAGAAAACCTGAAATATCCAAGTTTGAAGTGTGAGGGCAGCATGTTCTGCAAAAGGAAGAATAAAGTAAGAGAATGTGGACAAAGAATAAGGGAGAAACAAGATATGTGAATGAGAGAATGCACCTGGAAGGTCAAATGCAGACAGAAATGGAAACACATAACCAAAGATATTTTTCTTTATAATGGAAAAAGATTTACTCTTGATATCCTCTTGAAGGGTGTCATTCTCCACAGCTCCTTGCCACATGTATTTAACCAATCATAATGGTCCCAGGCTCTCTGCCACCTGAAAATTTGCCAGAGTCAATAAAAGAAGCAGTTCAGTTTAGCATGGACTAAGTGCCAAGTAACTTGGTAGGTATTAAAGTTGCAGGTATGGATACAACACAGTAGCTTTCTTGAGGAACTTTTAGCCTAATTGAAAAACTAGATATATAAATAAGAAATGTCAATATATCTGGTATGGGGGAAGCTCACAGTGGTAGTATTTCACCCAGACTAGAGTGAAGGTAAAAGAAGACGACAAAAAAAAAAAAAAAAAAAAAAAAAAAACTTCTTAGAGGAAATAAAGCTCTAAAAGTTGAAGAAGAATGGGACAAAGAGTATTTTATATCAGCTGAGCAAAAAGAGTAAAAGTTGATAAGCATAGAGTAGCAAGGCAACAACATAATACAACTTACTTGATATTATTAAAATGTGAAGTTTCAGGAAGGGCAAGACATGAGAATAGATAAGTAACCAGGGGCCAGATTACAGAGCAATATCTCTGTACTCGGAGTGACCTTGACTTGTACACATCATTTCCATTTATCATCCCACTGCCTTGAGTTTGATCAAAGGGGCTGATCTAGCTTCAAGGGAGGCTAGAAAATATACTCTGAAGATAAGTAACTAATGGTCCAGGAACAAAGAAAAGACAGCTATTGGGAGAAAAACTGAAAGTCTACCATTTATTTCATCTTATTGACAATATATAGCTATTGGAGGATCTGAAACAGGAATGCTTTAACTATATTAGACATCCATTAAAACCATTTTTGTAGAAATATAGAGAATATATTATGCAGTATAAGGTAATCAGGAAAATGAGCCCGCAGAATGACTGAGGTGCTGATAGAGTCCTGACCAACCTGGCAGGATGGTGGCCTGGAGCTGAGTTTAAGATCATTCAATAAAAAGGTTTTTTTTTAAAAAAAAAAACACTTTGTTGCCTAAGATTCACCCTTGTCGTGCATGTCTCCAACATTCTCTCCTGAGGCAAAACTTTTTTTTTTTCGCTAAACCAAACTCAATTGGCATTACCAGTGTGATTTCCGTGATCAGTTTGTGCAAAGACCTCGACAAAAACCGAGAGAAGAATCACTATCAACAACTGAAGACCTTTCATGGTGGTAGAGAGTAGAATAGTGGTTACCAGGGGCAGGAAGGGAAGTGGGCAGGAAAGTAAAGAGAAGTTGACTAAGGGGTACAAAAACACAGTTGTGTAAAAGGAATAAGTTCCAATACTTGACAGTACAACAGGGAAATTATAGTTAATAATAATTTATTGCATATATCAAAATAGCTAAAAGAGGAGAATTATAATATTCCCAACATAAAGAAAAGATAAATGTGTGAGGTGATGCACAGCCTAATTACCTATTTGATCATTACACATCGTATACATGTATGAAAGTATCACAAGTACTCTTAAAACATGTCCAACTGTTACATACGAATAAAAAATAAACAACCAAAAAAGAATAAAGAAGAAAAACATTACCATAGGGAAAAAAGACTTATTATAAAAAGGAAATGTAAAACAATTGTCTTCAACAAGATTCCAGAGAACATTTTATCCACAAAACAGAAATACGCTGCTATGCCTGAAGGAAGCACTAAATATGGAAAGGAACAACCGGTACCAGCCACTGCAAAAACATGCCAAATTGTGAAGACCATCGAGGCTAGGAAGAAACTGCATCAACAAGCAAAATAACCAGCTAACATCACAATGACAGGCTCAAATTCACACATAACAATATTAACCTTAAATGTAAATGGACTAAATGCTCCAATTAAAAGACACAGACTGGCAAATTGGGTAAAGTCAAGACCCACCAGTGTGCTGCATTCAGGAGACCCATCTCACATGCAGAGACACAGATAGGCTCAAAATAAAAGGATGGAGGAAGATCTACCAAGCAAATGGAAAACAAAAAAAAGGCAGGGGTTGCAATCCTAGTCTCTGATAAAACAGACTTTAAACCAACAAAGATCAAAAGAGACAAAGAAGACCATTACATAATGGTAAAGGGATCAATTCAACAAGAAGAGCTAACTATCCTAAATATATATGCACCCAATACAGGAGCATCCAGATTCATAAAGCAAGTTCATAGAGACCTACAAAGAGACTTAGATTCCCATACAATAATAATGGGAGACTTTAACACCCCACTGTCAACATTAGACAGATGAAGGAGACAGAAAGTTAACAAGGATATCCAGGAATTGAACTCAGCTCTGCACCAAGCAGACCTAAGAGACATCTACAGAACTCTCCACCCCAAATCAACAGGAAATACATTCTTCTCAGCACCACATCGCACCTATTCCAAAATTCACCACATAGTTGGAAGTAAAGCTCTCCTCAGCAAATGTAAAAAATCAGAAATTATAACAAACTGTCTCTCAGACCACAGTGCAATCAAACTACAACTCAGGATTAAGAAACTCACTCAAAACCACTCAACTACATGGAAACTGAACAACCTGCTCCTGAATGACTAGTGGGTACATAACGAAATGAAGGCAGAAATAAAGACATTCTTTGAAACCAATGAGAACAAAGACACAACATACCAGAATCTCTGGGACACATTTAAAGCAGGGTGTAGAGAGAAATTTATAGCACTAAATGCCCACAAGAGGAAGCAGGAAAGATCTAAAATTGACACCCTAACGTCACAATTAAAAGAACTAGAGAAGCAAGAGCAAACACATTCAAAACCTAGCAGAAGGCAAGAAATAACTAAGATCAGAGCAGAGCTGAAGGAAATAGAGACACAAAAAACCTTCAAAAACTCAATGAATCCAGGAGCTGGTTTTTTTGAAAAGATCAACAAAATTGATAGACTGCTAGTAAGACTAATAAAGAAGAAAAGAGAGAAGAATCAAATAGCTGCAATAAAAAATGATAAAGGGGATATCACCACCGATCCCACAGAAATACAAACTACCATCGGAGAATACTATAAACACCTCCATGCAAATAAACTAAAAAATCTAGAAGAAATGGATAAATTCCTGGACACACACACCCTCCCAAGACTAAACCAAGAAGAAGTTGAATCTCTGAATAGACCGATAACAGGCTCTGAAATTGAGGCAATAATTAATAGCTTACCAACCAAAAAAAGTCCAAGACCAGACAGATTCACAGCCGATTTCTACCAGAGGTACAAGGAGGACCTGGTACCATTCCTTCTGAAACTATTCCAATCAATAGAAAAAGGGGGAATCCTCCCTAATTCATTCTATGAGGCCAGCATCATCCTGATACCAAAGCCTGGCAGAGACACAACAAAAAAAGACAATTTTAGATCAATATCCTTGATGAACATTGATGCAAAAATCCTCAATAAAATACTGGCAAACCGAATCCAGCAGCACATCAAAACACTTATCCACCATGATCAAGTGGGCTTCATCCCTGGGATGCAAGGCTGGTTCAACATATGCAAATCAATAAATGTAATCCAGCATATAAACAGAACCAAAGACAAGAACCACATGACTATCTCAATAGATGCAGAAAAGGCCTTTGAGAAAATTCAACAGCCCTTCATGCTAAAAACTCTCAATAAATTAAGTATTGATGGGACGTATCTCAAAATAATAAGAGCTATTTGTGACAAACCCACAGCCAATATCACCCTGAAGGGGAAAAACTGGAAGCATTCCCTTTGAAAACTGGCACAAGACAGGGATGCCCTCTCTCACTACTCCTATTAAACATAGTGTTGGTAGTTCTGGCCAGGGCAATCAGGCAGGAGAAAGAAATAAAGGGTATTCAATTAGGAAAAGAGGAAGTCAAATTGTCCTTGTTTGCAGATGACATGACTATATATTTAGAAAACCCCATCATCTCAGCCCAAAATCTCCTTAAGCTGATAAACAACTTCAGCAATGAAGTGTGCAAAAATGAAGTGTGCAAAAATCACAAGCATTCTTATACACCAATAACAGACAAACGGAGAGCCAAATCATGAGTGAACGCCCATTCACAATTGCTTCAAAAAGAACAAAATACCTAGGAATCCAACTTACAAGGGATGTGAAGGACCTCTTCAAGGAGAACTACAAACCACTGCTCAATGAAATAAAAGAGGATACAAACAAATGGAAGAACATTCCATGCTCATAGATAGGAAGAATCAATATGGTGAAAATGGCCATATTGCCCAAGGTAATTTATAGATTCAATGCCATCCCCATCAAGCTACCAATGACTTTCTTCACGGAATTGGAAAAAACTACTTTAAAGTTCATATGGAAACAAGAAACAGCGCGCATTGCCAAGACAATCCTAAGCCAAAAGAACAAAGCTGGAGGCATCACCCTACCTGACTTCAAACTATACTACAAGGCTACTGGAACCAAAACAGCGTGGTACCAGTACCAAAACAGAGATATAGACCGATGGAACAGAACAGAGCCCTCAGAAATAATACCACACATCTACAACCATCTGATCTTTGACAAACCTGACAAAAACAAGAAAGGGTGAAGGATTGCCTATTTAACAAATGGTGCTGGGAAAACTGGCTAGCCATATGTAGAAAGCTGAAACTGCATCCCTTCCTTACACCTTATACAAAAATTAATTCAAGATGGATTAAAGACTGAAATGTCACACCTAAAACCATAAAAACCCCAGAAGAAAACTTAGGCATTACCATTCAGGACATAGGCATGGGCAAGGACTTCATGTTTAAAACACCAAAAGCAATGGCAACAGAAGCCAAAATTGACAAATGGGATCTAATTAAACTAAAGAGCTTCTGTGCAGTAAAAGAAACTACCATCAGAGTGAACAGGCAACCTACAGAATGGGAGAAAATTTTTGCAATCCACTCATCTGACAGAGGGCTAATATACAGAATCCAAAGAACCCAAACCAATTTATAAGAAAAAATCAAACCCCATCAAAAAGTGGGTGAAGGATATGAACAGATACTTCTCAAAAGAAGACATTTATGCAGCCAAGAGACACATGAAAAAATGCTCATCGTCACTGGCCGTCAGAGAAATGCAAATCAAAACCATGATGAGATATCATGTCACACCAGTTAGAATGGCGATCATTAAAAAGTCAGGAAACAACAGGTGCTGGAGAGGATGTGAAGAAACAGGAATACTTTTACACTGTTAGTGGGACTGTAAATTAGTTCAACCACTGTGGAAGACAGTGTGGTGATTCCTCAAGGATCTAGAACTAGAAATACCATTTGACCCAGCCATCCCATTACTGGGTATATACCCAAAGGATTATAAATCACGCTGCTATAAAGACACATGCACACATATGTTCATTGTGGCACTATTCACAGTAGCAAAGACTTGGAACCAACCCAAATGTCCAACAATGATAGACTGGATTAAGAAAATGTGGCACATATACACCATGGAATACTATGCAGCCATAAAAAAGGATGAGTTCATGTCCTTTGTAGGGACATGGATGAAGCTGGAAACCATCATTCTCAGCAAACTATCTCAAGGACAAAAAAACCAAACACCGCATGTTCTCACTCATAGGTGGGAACTGAACAATGAGAACACTTGGACACAGGAAGGGGAACAACACACACCAGGGCCTGTCGTGCGGTGGTGGCAGGAGGGAGGCATAGCATTAGGAGATAAACCTAATGTAAATGACGAGTTAATGGGTGCAGCACACCAACATGGCACATGTATACATATGTAGCAAACCTGCACGTTGTGCGCATGTACCCTAGAACTTAAAGTTTAAAAAAAAAAAAAAAGAAATATGCTGCTATGAAAAAAGAATAATCAGAGAGCCAAAAGGTTTCTTGGAATTTAACACTGTGCCTAGAGAAGTAAAGTATTTTAAAACCATAAAATATCTCCTGACAATCTTACAGCCTGTTGTGGTTGGGGAATGGTGGGAAAGAACACAGGGGAGGAAGGCAGGGTGCAGAGGAGTGGTGGCAGCCTCCCTAAGGGTGTGCTCAGGACTTTGGGCTGTATCTGGTAATGCACAAGTGTTGCAGCAGGGTAAACAGGGAAGTTGTGCCATCAACATTTTTGTTGTTGAAAGATCACTGGGAGGTAGGATAGAAATTGGATTGAAGGTGAGAAGGATACAACTGGAAGCACAGAGACTAGTTAGGAGGCTACTGCAGTAATCCAGGGATGAGATGATGATAACTGAAATTAAGGGCCACAAGATACAATTATCTAATAGACGTCCACAAGCTGAAAAATGGGCAGACTCATAGTTCCTGTAAATAATTTACAGCCAAAACAGGAAGGCAGACAAAAGTTTACTGAAGAAAGCGGATGTCCTACACTGACTCAGGAGCCAGCAGAAGGAAAATTATCAGAATGCCACATAAATGGAGTAGTTAAGAAGGGGTGAGCCAAGGGTGCTCTTTTAAAAACAGACTCAGAAGGGTCATCCATCAAAAGTAGCTCAGCCTTTCAGTCCGACTGCTAACAAGTGATGAAACCTGATCCATAAAACATTCCCAGGGTGTCACTGAATTGAGGCATTGGAGGATTTTACTTACCCTGAATAAGAAATCACTTCCAGTGCTTGAATTTAACAGATTATCTTCTCCAACTTGTCTACTACACACATGTGTGTGCATGCACACACACACAGACACACACACACACCTCTTTTAAGGTGCATAGCTGCATTAATTATAGACAAGGCAGAAAAGGCAAAAGGCCATTCATAGCATATTTGCTGCTGTTATGGCTGATTTATTCATTCAGTAATTCATTTTTAGTATTCATAGTACTCATTTAAGATGTTTTAGATAATGTGGTCAAAACAAAAGCTAAAAGAGATACAAGATGTCTTTTCAATGATCAATAAGCTTAAAATCGTAAAGTTCCAAATTTGGGAAGGGAGCTTAGAGTTATCACATTCGACTTTTTAAATCATTCATGATATTCCACCACAATATTCAGTTACGTAATGGACCAGTCTCTGAACACCTCCTGTAACAATAAATTTTCTGCCACCAGGGAGCTTATTAGTGGTTATGTAACTCTTGAATCACAATCTAGTTTCTAAATTTTTTCAGATAAACTTTTTTCGGTCATTTAGAAGTGAAAAAAATTAATTCAATCTGTCATTCTACAGAACTTCAAAAATTTGAAGACTTTCTATCCCCAACCCAACCCCAAATTCTAATTTTTAGGTCCAATATCAACAGTGATTTTAGTATTTCCTGATATGTCATGAATTTCAAATATCCCACCACCCTGTTTACTTTTAAGAGTATACATCTTACATTTGTTAATGTCTCTTTCAAACTACATACACAACTAAACGTGATATTTCAGGTGTGGTCAGAATACCTAGAATACAGCTGCTCCTTTGCCTTCATTGCTCAAGAAATTTACTTCTAAGAATTCTTCCATTTGGACAGTATGGAAAACCAGACACATGAATAGACCTGCTGACTATAATACAACTACATTCCAGATAAATTATAAGGACATTCTTTAAAAATGTGAGCTAACTGTCCTCTTCAAAAATGTATAAAAACAACATCAGAATAAACTCAAAGAGAATAGTAAGAAAAAAATTTTAAATACGGTAGAATAAATTAACAAAGTAAGAAGTAAGATAAAATAAAAACAGTCCGGGCACGGTGGCTCACGCCTGTAATCCCAGCACTTTGGGAGACCGAGGCGGGCAGATCACGAGGTCAGGAGATCGAGACCATCCTGGCTAACACGGTGAAACCCCGTCTCTACTAAAAATACAAAAAATTAGCCGGGCGTGGTGGCGGGCACCTGTAGTCCCAGCTACTCAGGAGACTGAGGCGGGAGAATGGTATGAATCCGGGAGGCGGAGCTTGCAGTGAGCCGAGACTGCGCCACTGCACTCCAGCCTGGGCCACAGAGTGAGACTGCATCTCAAAAAAAAAAAAAAAGTAGCATGTATTACTGTGAAAGGGCTAACAAATAGAAACTTGTCAGAACCAATAAAAATAGATAAAATAGGCCGGGTGCAGTGGCTCACACCTGTAATCCCAGCACTTTGGGAAGCTGAGGCAGGTGGGTTACTTCTGATCAGGAGTTTGAGACCAGTCTGGCCAACATGTTGAAACCCCATCTCTATTAAAAATATGAAGATTAGCCGGGCGTGGTGGTATGTGACTGTAATCCCAACTACTCAGGAGGCTGAGACAGGAGAATCGCTTGAGCCCAGGAGGTGGAGGTTGCAGTGAGCCAAGACTGCGACACTGCACTCCAGCCTGAGCAACAGAGGGAAACCTTGCCAAAAAATAATAATAATAATAAAAAGGTAAAAAGAAAATAGACATAAAGGGATTACAATTATAACAAAAGTATACAAACAAGTTTATGTTCAGTAAATTTGAAAATTTAAGAAAACGACACATCCTTTACAATACAACATGTCAAAACTGATTTAAGAAGAACTACAGGGCTATGATACTTTTATTATCAATCATTAAAAAAGAGACTCAGCAGTTAAAAATCTTTCTACAAAGAAAAGATTTAACTTACACAATTCCATAGAAGGTTCTAACAAACTTTTAAGAAGTGATTCTAACATTATGAAAATTATTTCCAGTGAATAGAAACAGAGAAAACTTGCCTGATTTTATGAGGCTAGAATAACACAGAAACCAAAACCAAGCAAGGATCACATTAGAAAGGAAACGTCTAAAACAATCTCAATAATAAATGTAGAGACAAAAATCCTAAACAAGACACTAATAAAAAAATGCATAAATGTGTGAAAAACATAATGCACCAGAACCTAGTTGATTTTATATCAGGTATCAAGGGGTCACACATTATTAGAAAAATCTGTATATTTAATTTACTTCATTCACAGACAAAAGGACAAGTATGTGATTACCTCAATAAACATAGTAACAGCATTATGATCAAATTAAACGTTCCATTATAAAAAAATAATGTAGCAAGTTAGGAATAGAAATATACTTCTGAAAATTGGTCAAAGATGTCTATGAAAAATAAAGAAGGAGGAGGAAAAGGAGGAGAAGGAAAAGGAATTGTGTAGTGGGCAGCTGGATGTGAAGGACTGGAGATTGTATGAGATATCAAAGCTGGAGATAATTATTTAAGTCATCCGGGTAAGAGTAATTTTTGACTACACAAGAAAAATTATTTTTGGCTCTGGTTTTTTTTTTGGAACAAAATATTTTTTATTTTTTATTTTTTATTTTTTTGAGACAGAGTCTCGCTCTTTCACCCAGGCTGGAGTGCAGTGGCGCTATCTCGGCTCCCTGCAAGCTCTGCCTCCCAGGTTCACGCTGTTCTCCTGCCTCAGCCTCCCAAGTAGCTGGGATTACAGGCGCCCGCCACCGCGCCTGGCTAATTTTTTGTATTTTTAGTAGAGACGGCGTTTCACTGTGTTAGCCAGGATGGTCTCGATCTCCTGACCTCGTGATCCACCTGCCTCGGCCTCCCAAAGTGCTGGGATTACAGGCGTGAGCCACCTTTCAAGCCTTAATTTCATCTATATTAAAAACCTAAAACCATCATACCTAATCCTAAATTCACACCGACCTCAACATAAATTAAAAGCACTGCATATTATACACATCTCTTACTTTTTAGCTTTTTTCCCCTAAGATGTTTATTCCAAACTTCTCTGCCTTTTAGAAAACAAAAGCCAGGGAAAATCGTACTTTGAGGGCAACTTCTGATTGCCTCACTGCCAAAGACCTCCCCTGAAACAAAGCAGGTACATGCCAGATTACTTGCTTCAAAGAAGAAATTAAACGGTTAAAAAAAAATACTGGGAAAAAAAACAAAAATGATGTATCAGAAAGTTGACCACATTAAGAACTGGAGTCATGTACTCTCTGCAATGAGGAGCAACTAAAAGTTGTTTGATATTTTTTAACCAAAGTCATATTACCGAAGTGCGGTTTTTAGGAAATTTAATTTAAAGGAATAGAGGGGGTGGAAACCAGAGGCCAATTGACTAGTATATTACAATAAACAGGTGAATGGGAATAGAAATAAGCATTTTCTAACTCTCATCCTACCTCAGGAACATTTTTATATCCAGTCATTTGCACTTTTGCAGCTTTTGTCAAATTACTAAAAACAATGGATGAAGTCAGTTTATCCCAATATCCTGGTCAATCCCATGGAAATGCAGTTAAGGTGATATTAACAAGAAAAGAATAGGCATTGCTTGGAATAAGAACGTGAGAGTTTCAGGGCAGCCATGAGAAAGGAATTTAAGAAAAAAAATGTCTACAAATTAAAATTTAGCAAGACATCTAGAAAGGTAAGTCTTAGTTTCTGGTCTTTTTTCCATAAAGTTTTTCAAGCATTAATTTCATTTATATTAAAAACCTCCTCACACACAACAAAGTCCAAATAATTATTTCATCCTTTAATGATTTTTTAATAAACAATTGGTCTTGTTGAAAGATAAACTTAGGTACATTAAAACTTTAGTGAGTTTATTTGAACATTCAACAATTCATGAATTGAGCATCATTAGACTGCACGTGGTTCAGCACTTCACTGGGGGAGGAGGAAGAAGGAGAAAACTTTTAGGTGTCTATAGAAGCAAGCCAAAGAAAATAATTTGATTGGTTAGAGTGGAAAGTCTCTGGGTGGTGGTTAGTTGGTGGTTTCTGACTGGGTCAGCTTAAGGTATTTTTTACTGTTTGTATTGGGCCTCAGTTTGCTTGTGTAGGAACTCAAGATGCTGGAGCCATCTCAGCCTATTGGCCTCCCAATTATAAAATAAATAACAGTCTTCTTATGGGAAATAAAATGAAAACAGAGTAGGAGTGATAACTTGTGTAATTGCCTACATTTATTACAGTTCTTCTATTTTGTGTATGACAGCCTTAGAATGAGGTCCCATAGATAAGAAAAACGAAACAAAACAAAACAAAAACAGCCATCTTTCTAACTTCCCCATGTCTGGTGTTGTCACATACATGTCCCAGATCTTCTGGACTGAAAACCCTGTACTTGAACTACTTTCTTTCATATGTGCACCACATTCAGTCAACAAATCCTTTTTTCTCATTCCTCGTTTCCCTGATTTCCCATTCTTTTTCATTACCACTGCCCTCCCACGTTTCATAATTTAAATCTGGAGTTCTGCAATGACTTCTTGGTTGGTTCTCACTGGAGTCTCTCTCCATGTTACATATAGCTGACAAATGGCCAACCAGAATATACTGTTCAGCCTACTTTTCTAAAAACCAATCTATGTGCCTTCCTCTGGACTTAGATCCAAAGCCTTCTAGAAAATGATTCCTTCTTATCTAGTCAACCTTACCCATCATTTCTCAAAAGGGGCTTCCATTCCAGAAAATAAAATCCAATCTGTTTCATGCTCTTGACTTAATCAGCTTTCACATCTGTGCCTTCTCCATTCATAGTAACACGTTCATTACCTTCTGCCAATGTATTGTTATCTTCCTTCATAACTCATCTCAAGGGAGATGTTTAAGACTCATTTTTTTGTCAACTAAACACTCTTCATTCTACATTCTCTTTGTGTATGTAATTGTACACGTACTTATATGTACATATGTACTACTATTCACATGCTGCCTTCTAATTTCCCTCCAGTTGCTTCATTCAGATCTCCATGAATATTTTTATTATCTTTTGTTAAGATTTTTATTAGCAGTTTTAGTCAATAAAAACTCGAAACTTAGTTAGATAGTTGGTACAATAGATGGAAGACTCATGATTAAATATAACTTCAACAGGATAAATAAAAATGGCAAGGTTTTTAAGAAATGAAATTAATGAGAATAAATGAAAGTACGGCAAGTGCTGCACTTGAGAAGGAGCAAAAAGAGCACCAATGTTGTCACTAAATGGCAGGTAACCTTGAGATGTCTATTTACTAACTGGATCTCAATTTTCCTCACCTAGAAAATAGATTGGACAAGGTGGTCCCTAATATTTCTTTCAGCTCTGGTCTTCTGTGGCAGATGTGTCTTCAGTAATGTGTTTGGTAGGAAAAATTATGACCCTCAATCATATTCCACATTCTGATCTTCAGGATTGTGACTGTATTACTTTGTATGGCAAAAGGGACTTTGAAACTGTATTAGTTTGGTGCAAAAGTAATTGCGATTTTTGCCATTACTTTTAATGGCAATGTTTTAATAATTAATATTACTAGTAAATTGATCTTAAAATAAGGAGATTATCCTGGATTACCCAGTTAGGGCTAATGTAAGCAAATGAATCTTTAAGAGCAGAAAAGGACATCAGAGAGATTGGAAGCATGAGATGGGCTCTACCCACCATTGCTGACTTGAACATAAAAAGGGTCACATGGAAAGCCTGAGAAGAAAATGATTATTCTACCCAGTGAGATTGAAAGAGGCTCACAAGCCCCAGATGAGAACCACAGCCCAGCAGATACGTTGATTATAGTTTGCTAAGACTCTGAGCAGAGAATCCAACCACGCTGTGTTGACTTTCTTACCTACAAAACTGTGAGCTAATATAATTATGTTGTCTTAATCTGCTAAATTTGTTATAGTGGCACTGGAAAAAATAATACACTTTCAAAGAAAGGGGTAATGCATTTTTTGTTTTTCCATACCATGTTCTAACCAACACAGAGTAATCTTGAAATGTCCAGAGGGCAGCTGGATATGAAAAACTGGAGCTTGTAAAAGAGAGCAAACCAAAGATACTGACTTTAACTCATGTGGACAAAAGTGATTGTTAACTCTACAGGAACGGATGTATTTACTACATACAACATTTGAGAAAAGCTAGAAGACTAGAAGCACATATGACTAAGTCTTCAGGAATGTCCAGAAGACAAAGGAGAAAGAGAAGAAATGGTCAAAGATTAAGATGAGAATAGGAAAGCATGTATTTTTGGCAACAAAAGTGGCAAAGCTTTGTAAAGAGGAGGTGGTCACACCAGATGGCTTCTATTGTTTCAGTGAAGTGGGAATCAAGATCAATTAAAAGTGCTTATTGGGACATGGAGAAGGAAGTTCTGCAGTAGCCTTTGCAGTGAGAGTCCTAGAGCATTTATTAGAGATAAAGTAAGGGTGCTCTTTGGAAGTGGGGCTAGAAGGATTTTACATGAGCCAGGGGTGTAATAGCATTTGTGTCTTCCTCCAGGATATAATATGAGTCAGGCCAGGAGAGTAGTACGTGACAGGTGATTTTGCTCCAAGCTTGGGTACTAGTACATTGCATACAGCAAAAAATCGATGAAGGAACAATAAACTAAACAATGGCTAGAACAAAGACTGTATTTTTGGAAAGTTCTTATTACAGCAAGGAGCATGCTGAATGCCTGGTTGAAGTTAGGAGAGTTAAATCAATTGAGACCCTAGCAAGAGGGGCAAAAAGGCTTTATGGTGCTAGGAAAATAGAAGAGGTGACAAAGAGCCTCTCTGACTGCAGTGCTCTTCAACATAGATCATCATATTCAGTCTCATCAACTTTAAAATAGAAACTACTTATGCTCATTTTCCAAATAATTTCTATTCCAGAGATAGAAATTCAAAAGTTTATATGACTTATCCAAGATCACACAGCAGGTCAGAAGCATAACTTGGGTTTAAAAGCTTTGCATCTTCCTCTAAGCTCTGCCGAGGTTAAATGTCTGGAAAGTGAAGTAGCAGAGACCAGAATCTCAGATTACAAAGCCGATGCCCTCCCTACCTCATTACGGCATTTTCCAAAACTACATTCTTAGTCACATTTAAGTTCTTTAATATGCATCTTTCTATCTATTGCTCATTTTATTCTCGTGGCAAACATGTGGATGTGAAAATTTTTATTCCTATTATATAGATAGGGAAAATGAGGTTTGGAGAATTGTTAAGTGATCTAACCCAAGTAACACAATTAGTTAGAGTTAGCACTCTTACACCAGCTTTAACCTTACCACCAGCATTTCTTTTCCCCAGTAACAACCAGACCTACATTCTTACCCTCTTTTGCCCTTAATTGTTCTACTGTCTCTTCCTCTCCTGGTTCATGCACTTAAAATCCCAGCGTCAATGTGTCTGTTTCCCACTTGGTTCCATGAGTTTTCCCACTTTGTAAGATAAATGTCACAGCCATCATTTGGTCTCCCAGCTGAGCCCAGAAGCCTTTGGATCCAGCTACTTCTTCCTTTTAGACAGAGTACACCTTCTTTAGAATGAGAAGTGGGATTTGGGTATGGTATGTCCTCCTCACACTGTTTTTCAAATCATATGGAACTGATGCAGTATAATGGGGATACTTTCAGAAGACTGGCAGCTTGTGTAAAAAAGCTGACTAAGTTAATCCGTGTGTGAAATGGAAGAATGCCTCGGGGAACATGACACAGTTTTTAAAAGAGGAGAAATAATAGATACTATAGAGGAGAAGGGAAAGAAAATGAAAGAGAGGAAAATGTGGAAGAGAGAAATAGAGAGAAAAATTTCTTAAAAATCAGAGGAAAAAATGGGGGCTTGCTATAAGGAAATAGATTTTATGAGAATAACTTTAAAAATAAATATAGATAATAATAATAATAAATACCTTTAAAGGCAGGCTAAAAAAATGCATTCTCTCTCCATTTCCCTCTCTCCCCCCTTCAGTTATCAGAGAATGTGTTAGGTAAAACGAATCTAAAAATAATAAACTAAGGTTTACTTTTTCTACATGACCTTGAAATACCTCTTTATTCCCAAGTTTCCATGGAAGGGGATGTAATTACATAAGTGTGAATATGTACTATTTCTTTTTATCTCTTTTCTTGATCTAGTCTACCCTGTCCTTCAAAAAGCTAATGAAATGAGAATAGGTAGGAGGCGACCCATTGAAGGTTAGTAGGTACCATCAGCCACTATATTAATGAGGCCAGGAGATGCCACAGCACAGCCTGGGGAGAAAATGCCTCAACAATGGCCAAGACAACACTGACCATTTCTAGCCTTTGAAAAATACAATGAATCAGAGGCAACATCTGACACTCCACTGGATTTCCGTGACTTCAGGAAATGAGCAAATAATATGCATTTTTCTTTGCATATAGGTAGTGAGCTTCTTTGAAATCAGAGCGATTCTTCCTCCAAAATACTCTTGAAGATAATTTGTTTTCCCGGATCTCTCAGGGCTCCCTTCAAAAACAGGATTTTGGACCTGCTGTGGCCGGACTCTCAATTGTGATATGTAGGCTCCCTCTACTGGACATATGGTTAGTTGCAGCCAGTGTGCGTTTTTAACGAACTTTGATTTCCTATATCCTTGTGACTTATGCATGATTATGGCTAATGAAGTGAGTACCAAGGATAATGCTTCACACACACACACACACACACACACACACACACACACACACACACACACACCATTCTTCTCTGAAAGTCTAGAATGCAGTTGTCTAGTATGAATAATTTAGCACCATTCTCTATTTTCGTTGTGCTTGCTCACTGTATATATGTAGGATTTTTTTTTCTTATTTCACTAACTAGAATAAAATTTATGGGTTGGGGATTCAGAATTTATTTATGCTTTTCATTAATTTCTTTTTAAATTTTGTGGGTACATTGTAGGTATGTATTTATGGGGTACATGAGGTGTTTTGATACAGGCATGCAATGTGAAATAAGCACATGATACTGACCCAAGTTTCAATGACAAGTCTCTACTTATTGGATTGAAGACATGTGTTTTCCACTTACTATTTGTATTACCTTGAGTCAGTTAATTTCTCAGAGCCTTGGATTCCTGATCTTGGGAAATAAAACAATAGGTACTCTAAGCTTGTTGTAAGAATTAAAAGATAAACCATATGTCAATGATACTCACATTTTTCTGGCACAGTAGAATATGATTCTCTAAGCAGTTACCAAACGCTAACTTCCTTTTCATTTGCTGACCTGTCTGTGTGGCCAGGTCAGTGGATTCAATTAGAAATATGTGACTCACATTAGCAAAAACAGTTAGACTTGAAATTATTTCAATTTTAATAAACTCTACCCAAATGAAAAAAGCATATATTTTCAGTATCCTCTCTAACTAGGCAATAGGCTAGGAGCACAGGCTGTAAAAAGGACTCAGATGTCATTGCTGGACTCTTCTCTCATTCTCTCCAGGAACACATGGAGAGGAGAAAATCTGTTTCTTGCTTCTGTATCAGTTTCTGCTCTATGGCATCCCTGGTATTTCTCATTGTAATTGCTCAATAGATGTTTATTAAAATAATCTTCAGTCATTTGTCTTGTTCTCCACCTTCTCCTATGTAAAGTGTAAAATGCATGTCCTTCCAATCCAGGACATCCTGCCATTAAACACATACTTATTTTTCTACTCCACATGTCTCTTTTCCCATTCCCTTCTCTCAACCTTTTGAATACACTTTAATGGTGCTGCCTTCTCACTTTTTACCTTGCATGCTGGGAGCTCCAGATGAGAGATGAAGCAAATATCTTGCTCCATTTGATCTATATACTGTATTGTCGATATTTCTCCCTTTTGAATTATCTTATTCCACAACAAAGACCATCATATACCAACATAGAGAAATAAATATGTGAGCTTAAGACTCACTCAAACCTAGAGAACACAGCTCATTCTCTTAACATGCCTTGAACAAACAGCACCAAATACAACTATAACCATGACAAAGAAACCAGAAGTCTCTGGATTAGTGTGGTGCCACCTGGACTCAGGAGTTTGCAATATTTGGAGGAATCAAATCATGTAATCAAAGTCTGATGCACATTTCATTCTTAACAACTTTATTTAAATTACAGCATAAACTTCCCCATAGAAATGTACTCTGTAGGCTGGTTGCGGTGGTTCACATCTGTAATCCCAGCACTTTGGGAGGTTGAGCAGGGGAGATCGCTTGAGCCCAGGAGTTCGAGACCAGCCTGGGCAACATAGCAAAACCTCATCTCTATCAAAAGAAAAAAAAAAACTTAGCCATGCATGGTTGTGCACACCTGTAGTCCCAGCCACTCACGAGGCTGAGGTGGGAGGATTGCTTGATCTTGGGAGGTTGAGACTGCAGTGAGTCTTGATCACACCACTGCACTCCAGCCTGGGCAACAGAGCAAGGTCCTGTCTCAAAAAAAAAAAAAAAAAAAAAAAAGGAAAAGAAAGGAAAGAAATACATTCTGTATTGATATGCTGTAAAAACAAAACAAGACAACAAAACTAAATGAAATGCAGATTCTGTCACACATCAAAATAGCTCTTTATCCTCAAAAGCCTTTATCAAATCAAATAGTTGTTTTTTTCCTCTTTAGAGCTTCCAACATGATAATCTAAGCCATGACTCTCCAAGAGAGTGTAAGGAATCTAATAGTCACTAATAAATCCTAGAGCCATTTTTTGTTTGTTTGTTTGTTTGTTTGAGATGGAGTTTCGTTCTTGTCGCCCAGGCTGAAGTGCAATGGTGCAATCTTGGCTCACTGAAACCTCTGCCTCCTGGGTTCAAGCAATTCTCCTGCCTCAGCCTCCCGAGTAGCTGGGCTTACAGGAGCCCCCAACCACTCCTGGCTAATTTTTGTATCTTTAATAGAGATGGGGTTCCACCATGTTGGCCAGGCTGGTCTCAAACTCCTGACCTCAGATGATCCACCCGCCTTGGCCTCCCAAAGTGCTGGGATTACTGGGGTGAGCCACAGTGCCCGGCCGAGTCATTTTTATGTCACTGTTCATCTGACTTGCATTTTTTTGTTAACTGAAGTCTCTCTAAAAATCACATCTTAAATACGCTCTTGTAGATTGGACGGTGAGCTTCATCAGTGCAGGGATGGTATTGGTCTTGACCTCCGAGGCTTCCCTAGTACTTACTGCAATGCAGCAGGCACACAATCCACATTGGATACATTCAGTTGAACTAAACAGCATCTTTCCTTAAGATATTTTTAATTCGGATATAATTATGTGATCATATTAATAGCATGATTCAAAATGAATCAGTAGAAGACCCTAGGGCCTTCAGATCATTTCAAACTATAAACACCACCATAGTTTAGTTTGAAAATGGTGGCTGCGGTGGGGGCTGGGAGTGGAATCCACTATCGTAATGATTTTCTGCCATTCCCTAATGTCTTCCGGCCTCCTTGCAGCTCTTTTGAGTTTTTATACTTGTTTCTCTTAGTCACATATACTAACAAAAAGAGAACAATTGAGTCAGACATCCTCTGCCACAGTTAGAATTTCAGTGCAGACATGCTTTATATATGGATCCCCATGAAGAGGAAAACGATTCAAGCCCACAGTCACTCTTAATATCCATCTAAGTCTTCATCTGGCTGCACTTCTCTAGATTGACTATGTGTCTTTTCTGATGTATCTACCTAGTAACCTCCCTTGGCTGGAAACTATTATATTTTCTGGCATCTCAGCACTACAGAGAAGTCACAAAGTATCTTTCTGACTTCCTCTTCACCCTAACAAAGATAAGATTTGGGACTCTGAGAATCAGAGAAGGGACCAGGCACCCCACAAGAATATCAGCCATGAGAAACTGTGAACAAATTCAGAGATCTGGACAGTATGAAGGACATTGCTGACATAAAAAAGTCAGAAGTCTAAAGCTGGTCTAACAGACATGCCAAGACCCAAAGTTAGTAATAAGGAGGCAGGATACAACAACATCCACATAGCAATGAATTTGGAAAGACCTGTTCTTAGGCCAAGGAGCACAAAGCTAGAGAGCAAAATTAAGGAAATGGCCTCTCAGATTTATTTTTGACTCACACCAATATTTTGTTTTTCCACGGATATGCTACCTTTTCTTCTCTGGATTTCTACCTTCCAACTTCATACAATTTCTATCATGTTTGTCTTTTTCTCCTGTTCTCTCTCTCTCTCTCTCTCTCTCTCTCGATGGGGGTGGGGGTGATGTCTGCAATATGTTCTGCATCTGTGTCCCTGTATTTTGTCAGGGAGGCATTTGTTCTCAACTTTCCCAATATGTTCTCCAAATGCAAAAGATATAAACATGACGAGAGGTTCCATTATTGCTTGATCCATTAATTGTTTTTAAAATTCATTAGAATCCTAGCTGAACATTATGAGAAGGAGGAAGGAAAATAGTAGAGTTGCACTGAGAAGAAAAATGTTCTTCCTTTTTTTTTTTCTATCAAAGCCATTGTTATTTACTCTCAGAAATGCACACTGCTTTTAGCTGTCTTCCCGCATGGAAATCTTCAATGGTCCAAATAGTCTTAACATTGAAACTCAGGTAGTTTCTGTGGTTAGTGATGGAGGTAGATATTAAAGGGATTGTATCTATAATCCACAGGATCCAAGGGGATATGTCACATAAACAACTGGAAATCGGAATCTGGAGCTCAGAAAAAAGCTGAAGAGGAAAATGCAATGTCTTGGGTTATAGATGGTCTATAAAACCAGATAATTGGGTGAAATAAGCCTAATAAGGCAATAGAACATGAAAAGGAATGAGGACCCTGAAATGAGGCTTGGAGAAACTCACACATTCACAAATTGGGAGGCCACAAAAAGAAACTGAGGAGCAGACAGAAAGAGGACTAACATCATGCAAAAGTGGTGTCAAGAAAGATAGTGAGGAAACTATTGCAAGAAGAAAGGCAAAAGCAACTGCACTGAAAGCTGCTTAGAGGTAAAATAAAATGAGGATTGATAAATGTGAATTTGGCAATATGCTGATCACTGGCAAATTTAGCCAGAAACATGCCAATGGAATGATGCTGTATATAAGCCAGCTTAGAGAGGGACAAATTGTGAAGTGGAGGAAATCTTTTATAATTCAAATTTAAAATAATTTATTGAAAGAACATTTAGAAGGGTCAGGCACAGTGGCTCACTCCTGTAATCCCAGCACTTTGGGAGGCCAAGGCAGGCAGATGGCTTGAGCCCAGGAGTTCGAGACCAGCCTGGGCAACATGGCAAAACCCCGTGTCTACAACAAATACAAAAGTTGCTAGGCATGGCAGTGCACACCTGTAGTCCCAGTTACTTGGGAGGCTGAGGTGGGAGGATCACCTGAGCCCAGGTGGCGGAGGCTGCAGTGAGCAGTGATAATGCCACTGCACTCTAGCCTGGATGACAGAGTGAGACTACACCCCCTAAAAACACAGAGAAAGACAAAAGAACATTTGTAATAATTAATGGGATGTGAGACAGTTGGGGACAACATGGCCTTTTTGTGAAGGACAAAAAAGAAATATGACTATAGCTTGATGGCACTGTAGTATCAAGGGTGTGTGTTTGCTTGCTTTTTTAGTTGATGTAAATGCTGATGACAAAGATACAGTACAATAGATTGTGTGTATATCTCTGTAATAACGGATAGAACCATGTCTCCCAAAAAGAGGAGGTAATGGGTAGGCAGACAAACCTGTCCCATTTGTTAGCTTGTATTTTCTTTATGGATAAAGTTACTTGTAATAGCACTACATTTTCCCATGAAAGCATATACCAATACCACCAATATATGTTACAATGCCCTATGAATAAACGAAATAAACTTGTTGAAAATTTTAAGTGACTGGGATGTATGTAATTTCAGATTGATAGTTTTAGCATGGTATCAAAATATCTAACACTAGAAAAGGAGATACAATAAATGTAATGAATTATTTAGCAGCTACATTGCAGGACAGTTTTCTGAGATTTTTAAAATATTTATTTTGGAACTCAGTCTATCCCTTGAACAGCTTCATAGCACTGTCAGTGTCTCTTCTGGTGGTATTGTCAAATGCTATTCTAGTAGGTGCCAATTCACCATACTGCCATCGGTTTAAACAAACTATTAGTATACTGTATGTGTGTATGAGCATGTATGCAAGCTTTAAACATGTGCTGATATGCCAGAAAACAAAATTTCAGTGCCTGGAAAATGCAACCATAATGTAATTATGTCTGCTCATGAGCATGTTC
This sequence comes from Homo sapiens, assembly GCF_000001405.40. Taxonomy (NCBI): domain Eukaryota; kingdom Metazoa; phylum Chordata; class Mammalia; order Primates; family Hominidae; genus Homo; species Homo sapiens. The sequence goes on from NC_000003.12 coordinate 116,764,096, forward strand.
ATGGATGGACAAATATCTATCACCTTTTTCAGGTTCAATTTTTAAAATTTGTGATCACCATCAATTTACTCAAAAATAACAGCCGTGCTATTGCTTATAACAATGGTAGTGTGGATGCAGAGTTAGTCATTGATAATATTTTTGCATTGTTACATTTGGTTATATTATCTCCTTAAATATTTCTAAGAACCAAAGTATTCTTCAAAATATTCTGTAATTTTACAAACACTATTTCATAATGCAAGAGTTGTGATGTCACTGAAGATTCAACTTTGAGTGTTGCTTAGTATCTAGAATTTGGTTTAAAGTTAAATAGTAAGGATCAGGTCAGGAATTTAAAAACTACTCAGGTCCCATGTTACACATAATTCTCACAAGGGTGGTAATAGTGTACTGAACATGCTATGGCCAGAGATTATAAATATATGCATATGTACGTGTGTACTTACATAAATGTGTGTGTAAATATACGTGAGTGTTTTTTCATGCATATGATATAAGCCTGGTGTAAACACTTTTTCCAAAATACTCTCATAAAAATGACCAATGTACTGAAGGGCATTGCTCTTTCACATCCAATCCACAATCTCCAAGCAAACAAGACAGAGGAGGGAGCCAAAGCCCCTCCCTGTGCACTGGGGATTTATAGATAATAAAAATATTTTAATGCTGCTGATTTAAAAAAAAAAAACACACTATTGCTGGCCCAGCCAGTGAAGAAGAATAATTTTTTTTTTAGATCCAAAAACATTTCTTGAAAAAAAGATGTCTTGACCTGTGATATAATACATCTTTCTCTAGGAAGGCTGTAGTATGCACCACCCAGGATGCATGGCAACTGGATGATATATATTACAGATATAGATATAGATATAGATATAGATGTAGATGTAGATATAGATATAGATACAGATACAGATACAGATACAGATACAGATACAGATATAGATATAGATATAGATGGATAGATTCAGAGGCAAGACACTGTCATTTTTAGTGCAGATTGCTTGAACCCAGGAGTTTGAGACCAGCCTGGGCAACATGACGAAACCCCGTCTCTACAAAAAATAAAAAAATTAGCTGGGCATGGCAGCACACACCTGTAATCCCAGCTACTTGGGAAAATGAGATTTATAAGTTATCTGCAAAAATGCAATGAAGAGATTTTCGTAACATTTATTTTGGAAACAGTAAAATTCCAAGTAGAATTTTACAAAGGAATGGATGAATAGATTGCAGAATATTCACCAAATGGAATATTATGCACTGATGAGAAATAAACATAATGCTGAGTGAAAAGAGAAAGTCCCAGAAAACTACATATATTTAATACCATTTTATAAAGCTTTAAAATAAGTGAAACACAGGAAATTATTGTTAGGATATATATGACATAGGTATTTTATTAGAAACCAAGTGAATATTAAATAGAAAATTTAGAATAATGGTTACCTCTGAAGAGAGAAAAGGGGATGAGATAAGAAAGGAATACATAGGTAGATGTAAATTTGGGCAATATTCTAGTCTTTGGGTTGAATATTCATGATAAAATTTTGCTTTGTAATCTATATGATATACTATATGTGTGTGTAAACATAAATATGTATGTATAATTATTTAAGCAAAAATAAAGTAGAATAAAAGTAAAGTCTTAGCACTAATAGGTGTTATTTCCCTAATATATTGAAAACAAGATATATTTAAAACACTACAGTCACAATTTTAGTACTGAGAATTTATTGCATAGGAAGCAATCTATAAGCCCATAACATCTGGAAGATAACATTTATGCCCTACTCTGTGTTTTGTATCACTGATCTTTTTTCTAAATTTCTGCAGTATGCGGGAGGCAACACTTAGTACTACATACCAATACCAAACAAATGAACATTGAATTGTTTTTTCCTAACTAAGGGTCAGGTAACCTAGATGTTGACAATTATATTATATTATAAACCAGTGTATGCAGGAATATTACACAGTCCAGATTAAGCCATGACACTGTCTTGTACTGTTGACTTTCTTTACTCTTTTCTAAAAAACATAGCCTCCTGGTTCCTCAGAAGTAAGCAGTCATAGAAATGTAGAATACAGCCCAATAATTGAAAGGAAAAGTTAGGCTAAATAGGACTCTGTTACTATGTTGTGTCTCCGAAATTCCAGCAACTCCTGATTATATCAAGGGGTGCCAACCAAATGTGCATTTTTCAACACTTCTTCACCTCTATCACCAACAGACTGTATCTCTAAAATTTTATGAATTACTGCTCAAATTCTTCCGGGAGACTTATGATAATTACTACTGCTTCTGCAGAGTTACAAATCTGCTACATCAATTTTAGCCAAAAGATATGTGTCTCAAAAAACAATTTTTCTTCTATGTAGAAGGCCTGAGGCAATTATCCAGGAAGGCTGGTTTTCCTAGGTGGGAATAGGCACTGGGGAAACTGCCTCAACTCTTTCAGGCTTTTAGTGCAGTAGTTGTTTAAAATGTGGATGTCTTGTTCCTTTGAGAATATGATACCGATCTCTCTCATCAGAAATACAAATACTCGTATGTACCAGATGTGTTTCACTTTTGGGGCTTAGGTATTCCTGAAGCTCATTCATGGGCTAAGGATCTGTGGACTTGCATTGTTGTGGTTCATCTGGCTGATGCCCACACTTTCTTTGGAAGAACATGAATAATGAGGGTGAGATTTATACTGTGTTTATGATCTCTTGTTTCAGTTACTATAACCATCTTCTATCTGATTTCTTTGCCTGTCCTCTGCACTGCTACCGTAGTGATATCTCTAAATAAAGTGTAATCAGTTAACACACCCATCTACCCCACGACTCCCTACTGAAAAATTTCAAGAGCTCTTTATCAAAATTCCATTGCAAAGCATCCAAGACCCTTGATGATTTAGCCCCTCCTGCTTCCTGGGCCTCACCTTTCACTCTGCCCTCCTGTGGCCTACGCAAGTTGCCAGGCAATCTCGTACTCCAAGCCTTTGCACATTTGTTCCCTCTATCTGGTATATCACCCTATGCCTTTATTATCATGGGGATTATTATGACCTGTCTGCATTTTTTGAAGACCCAGAGTGGGTTTCACGTCTTTCAGGAAGCTCTATCTAGCCTTTCCACTGTAGAAAAGAAATAACAATGTGTGTGTGGAATGAATTAATGAAAAAACTAGCTGTCAGGAATGATGTTGTTTAGAGGAAGAAGAACTGAACTAATAGTGTGAGGATTTTTCTAGTCTAGAATCGGTTACTAATTCACTACAAATCCTTGAGAAAGTAATTTTCTTTCAGAGTTTTATTTTATGGAAAAATGAGGTGGTTGGACAAAATATTCTCAAATTTCACTTTTTATAAAGCTTTCTTCTTAGTATCTTTCCCCCTCCAGGATGTACTTTGTTGGTATGTTGTGTGATTAGAAGAGAGAAAGAAGAAGGAGGGAAGTTGTATGTACTTGGTATGTGAATTCAACCTGAAGATACCCAGTAATATCTGTGGGTAACATTGATGATAAGCTTTTATTTCAATTACTTTTTCCTGCTGTGAAGCATAAATAAAAATTTTTATTACACTGTTTTCTGTCATTTTATAAGTAAGAAAGAAGTGAGCAAAGGAGAGAAATGTTGCTTACCAACTTACATTCCTCAATTCATTTTTAAAACAATTATCATGGTTCCTAAAATGGTATTTCTGACAGAAAATGGACTAGAAAAAAATATATTCCTACCCATAAAACTTAAAAATGAGAACAAAGACCTTGTCTGTTTTGTTATATGGTTTCCTCTGTGCCGGATATGTATTGGTTGCTCAGTGAATATTTGTTGAATGAAGTATCTGTTCACCATTCTATTCACAGGTATCAAGAAGACCACAGCTCAGGGTGGATATGAGATGCAGAAGAATCTCATTAATTTCATCTTCAGTATTTCAAAATATTTTGACATGGGCTGGACAGAGTACTTACAACTAAAGGATTTATTAAGCTTAGCTGCTCTTGAAATTCCAGAAGGCAAGTTTAGGAACAATCAAGGAAAAAATTCAATTTTTCTTTTTAAAAGTACCTATTTACTTATAAGTGATCAATGTGTTAATTACATTTGTTTTAAACCTATTCACTGAGGTAATCACCGTAAAGAATTGTGTTATTACACTCTTTGAAACCTGTTTCTGTATGAGAGGCTAATGTATTTTTCTTTCAGCAAGGTATTCAGTTGAAACTCCTGATTTGAATATAAGACATTAAAGTATGGGTATTTTCTTTATAAATGCGTTTTCCCCTAAAGTATGTTTTCAAATCACTAACAGAAATAGCTATTTCACATGTACAGAATGCTATATGTTTAAGTGTTTGATTGAATATAAGGATTAATGAGTCACTGTATCTGGTTTCAAACAGCATATAATCTAATAAAGTTAATGAGAGATATAGCGAAGGATAAAATATACCATATGTATGCCATGACAAATATTACTCTTTTCATGTATAGAAGGCTGGATGAGGGAAGCATGGGATCTCTTTCTTAGCATGGTAATCAGAGAAGTTGTCACAAAAAAAGATAGCATATAACCTTGTCCTTAAAAGATGGATATAGTTTTAATAAGCGAAAAGGAAGAGGAAGACATTTCTGGTAGTAAGAATTGCCTGGGAAGAGCAGAGAATCTGGCTGGCATGGAGCATGCATGAGGAACAAGGTCATGTATTTAGTGGGAGCATAAAGTAGGCGACTCAGCAGCAAAGGCCAGAGCCAGATTCTAGGACATTCTGAAAGCCAGATTAAGAGTATTGACTTTCATTCTGTACTCAATGAGCATCCAGTGAAAATGGACTATAGAATGGAGAGACTAGAAGCAGGACATTAAGTTACAATGTTGTATAACTCAGTTATGAGTTGTGACAAAATTATGGTGATGGTAGTCTAAATAGAAGAATGATGAAGGAAGACAATTTGAAAAGAATCACTGTAGTTTAGAAACCATTCTTTCTGGAAAATAATGCAAAAAAAAAAAAGGAGTGGAAAAACAAACCCAAGTTACTGAGAAAATGATGCTGACAGAAAAGACAGGTCAGGAGGGGAAGTGGATTCACCATGATGATGATAATGCTGTTTTGTTGTTTTGTTTTTGAGGGTGTCTTTTCCCCAAGCTTTGGTTTAATAATTCCAAATTCCTCTTTAGCAAACTTTATGCTTTAGATTTTACTGCAGTTGCATGTAAATTTCACATGCGTTGTTTTTTAAAAATTGATGTATATATATATATCATGTATATATATGTATATATGCGTATATATACATATATGTATATATGCGTATATACATATATGTATATACGCATATATACATATATGTATATATGCGTATATGTGTATATATGTGTATATATGTATGTGTGTATATATGTGTATAAATGTGTATACATATATATATATGATGTGTATATATATGTATATAGTTATACATATTTGGGGGTACATGTGATATTTTGATACATGTATACAATGTGTAATGATCAAATGAGGGCAGTTATCATATTTATTGCCTAAAACATTTATCTCTTCTTTGTACTGGGAACATTATAATTCTTCTCTTCTAGCTATTTTGAAATATACAACAAATTATTATTAACTATAATTTCCATACTGTACTATTGAATACTAGAACTTATTATTTCTATGTAAGTATATTTTTATTTATTTTTAAAATATTTATTCTCAACATGCTGAATTTCAGATAAATAACAGAGAGTCAATAAAATTATGGCCAAGTAGAGGTTGAATTCGAGTTCAAAGTTCAGGAATAGGTTTCCAGCTGGTTATGCCAATTTTTTGAGATTTCTGATGACGTGCTCATTATCACAGCCTCAGGACCAATTACACAATGCATGTGAGTATTTATCTTGCTAGAGAAATATCTCTAATTGAGAACCTGATCCCCCCACCCTTTATATCTACCACTACCTCGCTCATTTGGGTCACCAGGTTTAGCCTAAATTAGTTGAAAATACTGTAAACCCAAATTAATACATCATAATTCAGCAGTTTAAATTAAGGTATCAGTGCAACATTTGAAAAGTAAACTTGTAATTAATATATTCATTGATGTAAGAGTAATCTGGGACTCTGAATGTCTACCTGTGTCTAATGGCAGCCCAGTTATACCCAGTTGACCCATAAAACAAAAATGTCATGGTTCCTTTTTCAAAGCATTTTGAAGCTACAGCAGAGATTTAGTTTCTGTCACTGTTATTTCAGCCTCTTAGCTCTATTGGAAATAATACTGCTCTTTTTAGTGGAAGGGGCTGACTTAGTTGCCTGGGGTCCTCAGGCTGCAGGGTGGATTCTTGCCCTCCGTATTGACCATTAATATGCTCAGGGTCCTTTAGGTAGTGGGAAATTATTTCCTTTCTTCCCATTAAGCCTGGGATGTCATGAGGAAGCATCAAAACACTTATTTTCATCTTTGGATTTAGAAAGTACTAAATCAATTTAATGCTGATTTCCTCCTAAAAAGCAGACAGGTGAATTAGAGAGACAAATGAAAAACAGTTATAAGCCATTCACGTATCCTTTTCAGAGATTTTTATCACAGGCCTCCGAAATGTCTATTAAGAATTTAAACCTTTGTTGACTCCATTTAGCCAGCAGTCTGGAAAATGCCAGTGATAAGTACTATTCCTTGAGGAGTTCAGCATCTATTCTTCTTCTCTTCCTTGATAATTCCAGAAATACCATGAAAGGGGTAATAATACCGACAGTAATGAGTGTGCCTTGGGAAATCACTAAACTATAAAATTCACAGGAAAGCACATTTCATATCTTTAAATACATTCCATTGCCTCTGCTAGGTTCAAGCTCAGAGAATTTCAAAATGCAATCACTGCTCTGGCCAGTTGAGGGCGGAATTGCCCTTCTTTTTGCACATACATCGTGCTTATGCGTTTGGAAAAGAGGAACCATCAAACCATCTGCCGAAAGGGGGCACTCAGCTAAGGAAGGAAAATGAGAATGGACAGGCAAATTGGAAAGCTGCAGCACAAAGCGACCCCAGTTTCGTGAAGTATGGGAAAAAAAAAAAAGACATTTCATGCATAAAACTCAAGAGCTGTATCTGATGGAATACATTATGCTTACAGAACAAACAGGTGACTTTCTGATTTTGTCAATTTGTGTGGGTTGGTTTAATTAACCTTTTCTTTGGTAATTTTTAATACCTAGCTAATTTCTGCAAATCCATGTCAATTAAAAAAGGAAAGCCTAGAAGGCTGACTTAGAGTTTCTCAGCCTAATAGTACATTGAGAGGGATTGCAGTAGATTTTGTAATTAATTTCTCATCACAGTTTAGGTATGAAATAATGTGAAAGAAAATGGATAGTGTATGGTGGGACTACTACCTATTTTCTCTCACTATGAATGTATACCCTGATCATTAATAATTCAAAACCAGCAACTTTGCAGATCTCATCAAATAACTTTGTAATGTAACACACCTAAAATATTTATTTGCCGGACTCCTTTTTTATGGAGGAGTCAAAGATTATTTGGAGGATGTCAGTATTTACCTGCTACACCCATGACTTCCTCCATTTTCAAATTCAACTACACACTGCCATCTGGAGCAACTTGGGCTTGATAAAAATCACCTCTGCTACTGGAAACTATGCATTTCTATAGTGCTGCTTCCTCTTGATTTTTTTCTTTCACTGCTTTTTGAAAGTTCATCATATGGCCATTGAATCATAAAGTGAACATATAACTGGATCACAGTCTTTCTCCCGAGATTTATATGCTTAATTTATTTTGTAACCCTCTAGATAAGTCCTTTCACTAAAGCGGCCGTGGATCTTAGGGCCCTCTCTTATTGAACGAAGCAATAGTGCCCAAGAAATTCTTGCACATCTCAAAGTGCAGGAGGGGGAAATGCCCATAAAGAGACCAATTCATCAACATTATAGACGTGAGACCAGAAGTGAGATTACAGACAACTCAATTTATACTCTATCACCATACTAATCTTGTTAAAGCGTAGATTGATTCAAGGAGCTATCCTCCCCATTATATATAGACTCAAACCCATCTTCTTTGGCCTGATATTGACAGCCCTCTTTGAATTCACACCAGCCAGCTCTCCCACCCTTCTTCCTGCTGCCCTTGAGCTCCAGTCAAACTGAGCCACGGAAGTTCAGCATTCACGTTTAAATCCCTTCACCCTGACCAGGGCCCTCTCTCTAGAATTCAACTGACATGAAGAGTGACCAGATTTAGTAAAAGCAGTTTACCTCCCTAATTCCACATATCTATGTGCATCCTTGCTGCCCCAACCTAAATAGAGCTCTGCCATAAAGCCTTCCTCAATGTCATTCGGATACTCTGTACACCTTCTCAGAAGGCATTGCCTCTAGCCTCTCTTACGACACTTCTTTCTACCTCAAAATGTAGTTATTTATAGACATATATTTTCTACCAGACATAAGATGATTGAAAGTAGAATCCATATCTGATACATCCTTTTATCCCCCAAAATATTTAGTGCAATATCCAGCACACATATGCACTCAATAAATATTTATTAATTAACAAATGAATGAATTTAAAGTTTATGGTAAACCAAAGTTATCTACAAAGATGTCTAATAAACCTAATGATATTCAAGTAATTTTCCCTTACAAAAATTAACTATAAGTCAACCCTCTAAACCCAGAAGAGTTATCACCTTGCTGAAGAGCAGTTGCTTAGTCCAATGGGTAGTATCTTATGTGGCTATTTTGAAAGGAGAGGGTACAAAAAATTATGAAAAGCCTAAGTCCATTTACAGGAAATCCTCATTCTTTTTGAAAAAAAATTATGGAAAACATTTTTGAAATACTATCTGGTTCCCAGAAATCTGAACACAACTGCAGTCTCCAACCATAAAAATAGCAATAGTTATCTACCTGAAATTGCCATCCTTCAGTCCCTGTGCTTGATTTTGATAGATTCCTCTGCATGGAATTCATGGATTTCTAGTGAAGTGTAGAGCTAGAACCCCAAGGAAGCAAATTGAGATTCTATAACATTTAAGCCACATCTATATTTTACACTAGCATTACACTAATATTATATACAATTATGTTTATATTAAATATTTATAATGAAGATAAGTTTCAGCTTTTCAGTAGGATTTGAGATTTGAAATACTCCAACTTTGCAATAAGAAACAGGTAAAAAAAAAAACAGAAACAACTAAAAAGCAAATTTTTATTTGGCAATAATGTTGAGGAATAATAGTTTTTTAAGCATCCTTTCGTACTTTACGAAGAATTTAATATGTATTTACTCTCACCATCTACCCTCTTATTAGCCAAATATGTAGTTTTTTTAGTTTCTCTATAATCTTCAAAGCAGATGCATATTTAAGCACCTTAAAAGCAAACAATCCACCTTGATCATGCAATAGTTGTTTTGGGCATTGTGAGAGGTTGAACAGATATGCAAGATATCACATCAGCCCTCTTCAACTAGATGGAAAGACAATTTCACCACGGAGACAAATTAGTAAACGTTTATGCCAATATATCATTAAAAATTAAATAAATGGCATAGATCAATGTGTACTCAGGAAAGGAAGAACCGATGATGATATAAAAGTTTTTAAAAAATTGATTGGAATTTCACCTGAGTCAAGACGGATCTGAGTAAGCTAGGATAGGGTAAACATGGAATATTTATAAAATAAGGGCAATTAAACAATGTTAAGATTGAAAGTGTCATATTTATTGGATGGTAGAAAAACTGCTATATGTTTAGCATTTATTGAGCATTTACAATGTCCCAGGCATCATACTAAGTATCTACTTAAACAGATCATATTAATAATAGTGACTCTAAAGTATGGTCCCTGAGCAAGCTTGGAAACTTACTAAAAATATAATACAAATTATTGGATCCCACACCAGACTTACTAAATCAGCAATTCTGGGAGTGGGTCCAAGGAATCTGTACTTTATCAAGCCTACCAGGTAATTTGAATGCTCACTAAGTTTTTAGCACTGCTATATTAAAGGGAAGAAGGAAATAACCCAGATCAGGGGATGCAAGACCTAGATTTTCAACCAGTAGAATTACATTAGATGCATTAGAAACAGGAAGTTACAGACATATTTTAATAAACCAGTGGCATCAAGAAAGTGATGTTTATTTAGTTCTGGTTGCTCAGAAGAAATAGTAACAGAGGCTAAGTGTCTGAAAAGAATTATTTATGAAGATGTCCAAAATCTTTATGAAAGTTCCTTTAAGCCATACAGCATCTGGAAAATAGGCAAAAAGGTATAATGAAACAATTCCATCTTTTGGGAAAAATAACTGAGTCTTCTCAAAGAAGATTTAATAAGAGACCTATCTAATTTCTCCTCTCTGACTATGTGCTATCGGCTTTCTCTAGAGCCTAATTCATCAGAGTGAAGAACCCTGCAATTTCCTAGAAATATTTGGTAGACTTTCTAGCCCTGTTTTTAGTGTGCTTAATTTTTTTATATCCACTTGAGCTACTAATACGAGGAAAAAGAACTTAAATTACACTGTCTTGATTTTACATATTTTTATTTTAAAATGAAATATTAAAATGAATAAAAGTATGACAGCTACTTATTGCAAATATAACTTCCTTCCTTATTATACATATATTATCATATATATTATATATAGGCTTATAAAGTGTTTTGCACTTTGAAATTCTCTGAGGAAAGATGAAGCTCTACCCTCTACCTAGGTGCCAGCAGTACTAGGGCTAGCAAGGAAACCCCTTTAAAAAGCCCCAAAAGGATGGGTGATTATTGGTTATTTCAGGTTGGAAGAAAAGGCAGGATTAAAAGCTAAGCGTTGCATGAACCTGTTAAATCAAAGGCAACCACAGATGGATAGTTACAAGTACACAATTGTCTGCAGTACCTGGCAAACTTTATTAGGCCAGAGCTATCTGAAGAAGCCTCTGCCTCTTAGCCTTTTCCAGAAGAGATTTACCAGATCATGAAGGTCTATGGGGTGGGAATTGTTTATTCTCTAGAAGCCTGTATTGTCTGATACTTCAGTCTAAATTACAAATTGTAGTCAATTCTAATTATTTGTGAATCCCAATATTTGCGAATCCCATTATTTGCGAATCCCATTATTTGCATACTCTCCTACTTGCTAAAATCTATCCATTCTTCCCAAAACTTGGGATCATCAATAGATGTACTTCCCAGCTTGGGAAGTGTTTGTACTTCCCAAAACTTGCCATGTTTTCATAGTCATCTGTGGACACACTCGGATTGGTAAAAAATGTGAGTTGCCTGAGCACATGAGCATTCCCACCTGAGGTGCCTCTTTGATCCAGTTCTTAAATTGAAAATAAGTATCCCTTTGTGGTCTGTTTAGTGCCTTTTTTTCACTTGTGTGTGTGTTTGTGCGTGTGCATGTGCACGTGGGTGTGCATGTGCACGTGTGTGTGTGTTGAGTGTTTTTTGGTGGTGATTTTACTGCTTAAAATGGCCCCCAAGTACGCTGAAGTGCTGTCTAGAGTTCCTAAGCATAAGAAGACTGTGCTGTGCCTTATGGAGAAAGTACATGTGTTAGATAAGCTTCCAAAGGGCATGACTTACAGCACTGTTGGTGGGAGTTCAATGTTAATGAATCAACAGTATATAGTCAATAACATGTCTTTAAACAGAAAAACACATGAAACACGGTTATGTGTCAATCAGCTGACAAAAATGTTGTGACCAGAGGCTTCCGGGAACCTATCCCTGTATTAACCCTGGGAGCAATGATTCAGTATTCACTAATTCAGTGAATGTGACTTTATGGAACCTAAGCATTAAAAATTGACATTTTGGTATGATTGGGATAGTCTTGGAAGCTCAAATTGTGATTTCAAACATGCGTTTCTGTATATAATTCACATCTTAATACCTCAACTAAATATTAGTAGAGAGGAACCCCTGGGGGTTTTCTGATTAGAAAAGAAACAAAGCTTTAATATGTCACTGCCTAGAAGGTAAAATAGACTTTATTATGTTAAGGAATTATCACTCATAGGTCGGTTGAGACCCTTGGCATCACAGTAAATATCAGAGGTGCACCTTAAATATTTTCTGACATTCACCAAACAGCATACTTTAGCTCGTTTTTGTACATAAGAAATTTGGAGAAATGTAAGTAAAGCCCCAACTGAGTAAGTGCAATAGCCAGAGACAAATTCAGCATGATTCTACATCAAACATACATAAAGTCCCCCTTAGTTGCATCCTCATCAGCATTTGAGCAAAATAGAGCATGGCAGGCATGAAGGAGAAGGGAACAGGCCCATACCCCACAACCGATGCACTACCTACAATTGTAAGGCTTCTCAAAGCTGACCAAAGTAAGTGGATTGAAAAGCTTGAGGGCCACAAGGAAAAGGACAATAAACAAAAACAAAATAAAATGGTGAACTTGTGTCTGTGCTATAGATCAATCTTTCATGACAAGACATTTCAAAAAGGCCATGTAATCCTTCCTCCTGCCTTACTTTCTTTAAATATGTGAGAGTATTAAAATCCAAATCAGTTCCCAATAACATCTCTGTCTCCATACTCGAGACTTTGCAAAAGTCTGGGGAACTGGAAATCAGTGAGACAGGTTTCTGTCCGTGTGTAGAGTGTGCGTGCATGCATCTCTCCCTTTCTGTCATGTGCGCACACACAAACACACACAAACATACACTGCAGAGCATCTTTGCCATCAGAACTGCAGACTAGCATCATGACATTAAGAATCTGGCTCAGTTAATACCGTAAGCTAGAGCATGTGCATAGAATGCTGTTGCCTTTTCTGCTTTACTAATGAAAAGAAACTGGTAGAATAAATTAAGTCATAAAATCAGAGGGCTCCCGCACATTAGGAGAGTAAAGGATGGTGGTGAGAGGGGAGGCAGGGTTAATGATATTCTGCCTCCTATTCCCCCATTCAGCATTAAGGAGGCTGAGACAAAAGGACCTTAGGGCTCATTCCATCTATTGATGATCCAGTGTCAGGGGGATTAGAAGAGTGACATAGTAAGTATACAAGGCTTTAGGCATCTATTTAGCCTTCCAGGTCATTTTGTTTTGGGCTGAAACCCTTTGAATGAAAATAGTTTTTGAAATGATTAAAGAGAGTAATTTCCTAAAGAAAATGTGTCTTCTCACTACATTGCTAGACTATGTTACCTACCCTATTCACATCCAGTGAGTCACTAGAATTTTACAGGCCAGAAAGTTAACCAACCAGTGAGTAGTAAGACACTAGGAGGAATTCCTGAGAGGTAGTGACACCCAGTGTGAATTCCAGTGTCTAAAGAACAGCTGCTGCTCTCTGAGACACAGTAAGGGAGCCCTACAAATGGACAGAACACTGCAGTCGGAGAGTAATTTGGCTCTACAGGAGGTGGAAGTACCACCCTCATTGGAAAAAAATGATAGCAAAAAAGGCAGTCCCCACAGTGGCCCAGGGAGAGCGAGGCCTTTGAGGTGTCAGATAAAGGGAAGAGTCAGCTCATTAGATGGAGTGTGGGGAGAGACCAAGCCCCGCTGGAATGCGGCGGAAGCCATTGGACCCCTGGAGGGGAAGATAGGCTGCCTCTTGGGGCCACCCTGGATTATTAATAGGAACGTGCCCCATCGAAAAACTTGACCTCCTCGGTCTGTTTCAGAACTTAGGCCTGTGTTTTTCAAGCAACAGCAACAGATCAGAATTTGGAGAAAGGGAGTGCTGAAAAGCGTCCTTGAGATAAGATTTAAAGCCAATGTCTTGAAGGCTTTCAACAACGACAAAGGAACAAAGAAAATGACAGAAGCGGGGTTTCCTTCTACTCCACAAACTACCTCTCCTTTTTCAGGAAATTATCACTCTGTAGAGGGGATGTCTTTTGAGAATACATTACTGATATTTCCAAAATTAGAGGTGTTCTTGGCTGACAGGAAAAGCAATACAACAGAAAAGAACTAAGAAGCTAATATTGGAGATGAATTTTTGAATTATATTTTACATTCAGAGCATCTCTAATTTCATATCAGGGGTCTCTTCACTTCTATATTTTAAATATGAGTTCTTATAAATACAAAAAGCTTACAAATGCACATGTTCACATAGGTGGTTTCCTGTACATTTTATGCAGTAGTTAAAACAGATATAAATTTAGTCCTCAAGGAGCTTGTAGATTCTCATTACTATAATTTACATAATAAATCTTGTTTTATAAAAAGTAAATCTGTATATATATATGTATATGTGTATATATACACACACACACACAGAGACATATGAGATCTATCATGACAGCTGTTTTGGCTTTTAAGTAAAAAAAAAAATAAAATGATAAACATTGTTCTTTAGTCATATAGAGTTGATTTCATGGATAATGCCTAATTTATAAAGGGCTTTTCAAGATAAATTAAAAAACAAAGAATTTCCAGGTCTAAAGGAGCAAGTAATAAATAAAGGAGATACAAGTGACTGTGAATATCAAAGGGCATGTGATGAGTAGGCAGAGAAGAGGACGAATAGGATGCAATGGTTGGATGGTGCAGTCTCCTGTGAGGGGTTTTGAAGGTAAGGACAAGGAAATTGCTCTTAACACATTAGAAACTGGAAACTCATCATTACTTTTTAAAAGGGCAAAGATAGTTGCAGTACTCTATGAACAAAGTGGTGAATAAAAAGGAAATTGTTGACTACAGTGTTCAAAACAGCAGAAGGTTTAGAATTTAAACTGTAATATGTGGATATAAACCAATATATTTTTGTAGAGCTATAAGGGACTTTGTCCTCATCTAGTCTAGAGGATTTATGTTACAGATTAAGATATAGGGCCCAGAGGAGTAATTGTTTAGTGTGGGGTCAGAAATCTAGCTACAGACAGAGGCAAGACTAGAACCCACATTTCCTGATTTGTAGACTTGAGCTTTCCCCTATATAAAATACTATAAGATACTACAAAATATTTTACAACCATAGAACTTTTTCTATTAAAAAAAAGTCTACACAGAAATCCAAGGTGTCACACAGATGATACCTTGCTTTGGTTAAAGGGGAGAGGTGAGTATGAAGGCATGAGGGGGAGTCTGAAGGAGAAGTGAAGCCCCCTCAACCACTCTGTCTCTTTCAGGAGCCCTCAGAGGGCTCCGAAATCTCCAAGACAATTGAAAATCCCTGACTAAAAGGCCTTTACTGTCTTCTGTCCAAGTGAAAAATAAACCAGAATACATTAAATAACAACAGCTTCTAAAAAGTATACCGCCTTTGAGAAAATAAAATTGTGTGAACAATAAAGTAACACTGTATCTTCTTAAGAAAAAAAGTAATGTGCAAACGTCATCTTTTTCATTGTTTGAATTTTAATTAGTTGGTTGTATTCAATCATTCACTTATTCTGCTGATTCGACGAACATATATTTAGTACGTATTATGTGCCTGACCTTGGATCAGGTACCTGAAAATCAAAGTCAAATAAGAGGCAGTCTTGCCATCAGGAGTGTTTCAGTGAAACACGACCATAATGCAGGGTGTTTGGGAATGGACTAGAGGTCAAGAGGGTGTTATGTTAACACAGAGGAAAGGAATTCAAGTCTGGGAAAGCTTTCTGGAGAAAGTGATGCTTACATAGGAAGTTGTTAAAGCATATAAGGTAAAATCAGTTGATTAAGAAAGGAAGGGGCACATTCCAGAAAATTAGGACAGCAAGTGCCAAGATGTGGAGGTAAGGGCCCAGTGCATTTGGGGAGCTTGTGCATGTTGGGGAGTTTGGAGCCCGTGTAGTGACCTGGAATACAGTAGGTGGGCATTGAAACTTTCGTGAATAAATTGATTAATGATATGTAACTATAAAGTTAAGTTTGAGAGTGTAGTTATAGAGTTAATTTGAGAGTATCTCAATTCAGTTTCCTTCCTGCAAAAAGAGAGATAATAATTGCACCTATATACCAATTGTTCTGAGAGAACTTTGGCCAGATTCCCCTTTTATACAACCTTCCTCTAGTAATGATAAATGCAAATTAAAACTACAAGGTGATACTATTTTTCATTTATCAGATTGGCAAAAATCAAGACTTTTATGTGAACAAAGAGGTGAGTACATTACTGGTATGAAGATAAATTGTACAGCCTCTATGGAAGGTAACCTGACAATATTTTTCTGATATTTAAAACCATAGAAAGCCTTGGACAGAGCAATTCCTCTTAAGAATTTATCCCATAGACACACTCAGATATGTAACAATGACATATGTCTCAGCCTGTTACATTGGTAATATCTTGATATTGTTTAATATTGTTTTGGATTGAAACTAAGAAGATACTGGCACACCATTTGATTATGTCTATTGATAGATGTTCTGAACCTTACAATTCACTCCTTTTGCTAAAACATGCAAATTAGTTCTAGCACCTGAAATGAGGGAATGATGAAGATTCAATAAGGGAATCTACATAAAAGTGCCTGGCATGGTATCTACCACATAGGTCGGCCCCAATAAAGGATGTTTTTGTTAGCTATTAGATATTTGCTAAAGCTATTAGGAGCCACTTAGTGATTTTAAGCTGAAAGTGATTTAACAAGCTTTCGGTTTTAGAATAATCACTTGGGCAGCAGTGGAAGGACAAGGTGGAGAGAGGCCATGCGGGTGTTAAGGAAATTAGTTGGAAGGCTATTAAAATTGTCTAGATAAGAAACTAAAGGGCTCGAACTAAAGCACTGGGGACTGAAAGAAGGCAATAGATTGGAAGATATTAGAGATAAAAATTCTTCAATAAGTGGACCTGACTGAATAGAAGAGAAATTAATATGAAATACATTTGTATGTTCTACAAAAACTTTATGAGTAACTTTAACATTAAGGCAAAACATGGGAAATGTTGAATACAATTGAATCAAGTCAGTGCAGGGACAATTTCATCAGAAATTTTTTCACTGGATAGGATTTTTAGTTAGACCTCTATTCTTTCCAGCAACTATAAAACACACATGTACACTGCACACACATGCACTTGACCACACCCACACATGCATGCACACACACACACATACACGCACTCATTAGCTCACTCATGGAATGTATTCTCTCCTCAGAGTTAGAAAGACTCTAGCATCAAAGCACCTCAGGCTCAGAATCTTTGCCAAGAAGTGTCATCTCTTCTCCACTCATATCAGCAGTGGCAGGGAGCTTTCTGCCTCCAAGGAGCAATGCACTTATGAAGCTCATCCATCAGTCTTAAATCCATAAATCAGTGATTTGGGAAGGTGTGTCCTACTAATATCACAGTGAACTCTGAAGTAATCATTTTTGTTCGAAGCCTACTCTGTAATAGTGTACTTCCAACAACAGGCTTCAGTTATCTCTATTCATAGTGAGACAAATTCTATAACATCTGAGAAATATAAAATATGTGACTCTTAATATAGCAATCCAACCCACTCACCCCTAAAACATTCCAGATAGTCAGGAAATTATATTGATGTTTGATGAGAGAGAAAGAGATGGATTCTTATTTACTTCTATTCTCAATCATGGTTCTAATGCTAGTCTCGTAAAATGTTGCTTTGGTTGTGTTTGACCTCTTAAATTTCCACATGCCCCCCCGAAGCTATTTTTCCAGTCTTTAACTGGCTCCAGAGAGAGAATGTGTGACAAGAAGGCAAGGCTGGTCTCCTACCCAAGCTACCCTGGGCACATTTAAATAAGCTTTTAACCCATAAACATTTGCATTCAAGATATAAATCCTCCCTGAGCTAAGTCGTGTCAGAAAAAGTTATGGCTCATAGAAATGTAGAAGCTGCCACCAGACCAGACCCCAAGAGGATGATGCACCCTAGGGTTTAATAGATACATACATACAAGTTTAATAGATACTTGTAAGTTGACTGACTGCTGGCCAGTTTCCAGTGCTGGGGGGCTGCTGTCACCTCTGTGCACATAAACAAGAGGAGAAAACACACCATCTAGAACTCTGAGAAGCAGGGCTGGCCTCCCAAGCATGTGGAACAGCCATTCAGCTCTGCAATCTGACTAGGGAAGGGCTGCTCAAAAAATGACTGCTTCCAAATAACACGCCCACCAGCCTGTCTCTGAGACATTTTGCCACTAGAAACTTTGATTTGTCAGTATAAGAATCTGGACTCTAGAAGTCTTGTCATAATGCAAAAGCCCTGCAGGAGTCACATTTTAGGCTACAAATACTCCTTAGTATTTCCTTATCAGGTTGCTTTTCTAATGTGACTGTCACTCAGTTGCAGTGAGACACTAAAGGCATAAACTTCATGTTGGAGTCGGGTAAAAGATGAAGGCTGGGCTACAATCTGTTGTCTGAAAAGTGCAAACCAGTTTGAGACTCCAGAAGAAGCAGGAAACATACTGTCCTAAGAATTGTCATCTTCATAATTGTGCAAACACATCTAGCATACCAACGTTCATTTAAGCAGGAGACTGAATCCCTCTGTTATTTTTCCTAGCTCAGTAGGGCAGCAATTTATGTTCTAGATTATGGTAATGTGCTAGGGGAAATTAAGTACTTCATGTATTTTGTTTTTAATCATCTAATGTCATATAATTTAGGAGTAGGGTTTATAAAGAAAAAGCCACAGGGCCAATCAACATCTAGTCTCTTCTCCAATGCTATTCCTGATACTGATATACAAGTGTTTTTCAGGAATAAACCATCAAAACTGCCATTAAGGAAGAGTCACAAAAGAGTCCATGCAGCCAGAGAGAATCAGGTGACAGGCAGCTAATTTTGTCCTAGTGAAGGTGGGGTCTACTCAATTATAAGAAGGCCATGGAGTGATTACGGTGGTCCTACATATTTTCTTTCTTCCTTACCAGGTATAGCTGTCAGGAATGTCCTCCTCAAAGCGTTAATCAAAGATCAGTCCTTGAATTATCAATCCCATTTGCCTTGGTTACCATACTAGTCTAGTAAACCAATGTTTTGTGTCTGGACACTGCGATAGACTCTCTGCTGATACGCAGGTTGCCTCCTTCTTCCCTTCAGTCAGCCAAAGTGATCTTCTAAATTTGTAAATAAGACCCTGCCTTTCTCTGGTTTAAAACCCCTTAAAGTTCCCCACAGGTCTTAGAATAAGACCCCATCTCTCTATTGCAGCGTCAGTGGCGTACCTAAGTTGGCCTTCCTGGAATATCTGCATTCCAGTAAGAATCTCTGGCCACTCTCTCCTTGTCCCCAGCACACTAGACACTTTGATCTTCTTCTGTTCCTTAAATATGCCAAGCTCATTTCTTCTTCTGAGCCCACGTATTCCTTCAGGCTGCAAGCCCATCTTCCTCCTTTTCTCATGGCCAAGTTCTCATCCACAATTAAGACTCATCTCAGTATTAGAAACTAATACTGACTCCCAAGTGGCTGTCCCCACCCTCATTCTCTATCAAGGAGGCATCCTGTTTCTTTCTCAATCAAATATTCATCAAAATCATAAGTAGATATTCACATACTTGTTTCTTATTTAATTTCTATTACTTTGACCTAGGCTATAGCTCCTGGAAGGCAGGGATTCTTAACTAGGTACTATATTTCTGCTTAGCCAGTGTCTAGTATAAGCCTGATACATCTTAGCTATTTATTAGTTATTTAGCAATGAATAAATCAATTCTGTTTTTCTAAACAGCTATTGTTTGTGTTGTCTGGTCAGGTCACAAAGGGTTAAGAAAACCAAGTACAGTATGCTGCTTCCCCCAGACTGAGCAATAATCAGAGATGCTTAGGATTATGTTTCCCAAGTTTTGCATGTTATAGGCAATTTAAGACAGATCATTATTAGTTTAGATCCCACACCCAAGCACAGGAATATGCATTCTGTTCCCTCATTCTGAGTTTTGATCTGTGACAGTTTTAGATATAGGAAAAAGAAATTAAGAGAACAGAAGAGACTTGGTGGGAAAGTACAAAATTTTCTCTCCTTACCAGTCAGCAGTCCATAGATGTCTTTAAAATTTATTGTTTTCTAAAGTTTCTGACTTAAGAAGTAGAAAAACCACAAATTATTTTCTAAATAAATCTGAATAAATCTGTAATAAATAAATCTGTAATTTTCAAATATGCACACACCCCCCCCAATTATTTTTGGTTTTGAGAGTTATGTTTTTATGCATAAAAATGCACTTTGATGTATCAGATGTGTATAAAGTAAAGAATAATTGCAGCCAAGACCAAAGTAAGACCTAGCATTTATTGAAGCATGTTTGACTTTCTTTGCCACTTGACAGCTGTGTGGTTTTAAGTAGGTGAATTTTGAATATCTGTGTTGAGCTTCAGGTTCTTGGGCTGTAAAAGGTGAAAGTTTCTATCTGCCTCACAGAGGTATCATGAAGCTTAGATATATGATAATTTTAAAACCTTCGGACCACTATCTGGTATATAGTGTGTGCTTTAAAAAGGCTAATTCGATTTGAATTAAAATCTCTTCCCACTTTTCAGGAGTTTTTAATTGGTCCCTCTGCTAAAAATCACCTTTGTTTCTCAGTAAATCCAGTCATGTATTTGGATTCACTTGAGCCTCTACATTCTTAATTGGATAGTTCAGCCCGTGGTTTATTATAAAAGCCTGGATTTCACCATCAAATTACAGATCAATCAACAATTACAAAAAATAATAATGGCTGGCAATGATTTTGATTATATCACTGCAGCCTTGCTTGTTTTGCTTGTCTTGACATCAGATTTTCCCATCTGAAATGTCTGTAAGTGCTCAGAATGCTCTGAATCGTTCCCATTCTTTACCAAATCGACCCATGGATCCACTGTGGATGTTCACCAATCAGATTCTTTCATAAGGTATTTAATCTAGCTGATGAATGGGAGGGGAAGATGAACTCTGTTATCCCTGTTGGGTATTGTTAAATAAAAGGAGAGCTTCAACGATGCGTTTGCTGTGTCACTTGAGAGCATACATTCCCAACAGGGGCAATATCACTGCCCACTGCCGCCACTGCGGTGTTGAGAAAAATCTTAGATGTTACAATGATTTGTGGTCCCCTAAAGGTCCATGGTACAGAAGAAAAAAAAAATTAGTGTATTATTAGAAACAAAAAATGTTTAAAAATGCTCTTGGGGTATGATAATATTAATATTTTTCAAAAGTTGAGAAACCCTGCCTAAGGAAAACTCTATTCTTCTCCCAGCATTCTCTTTTCCTTGAAGAGTATGCATGTAGAGTATAGCTATTTACAGAGAGTGGAAAGATACCGAAGACCTATGGGCGGGCTTCACCCTTCTTTTGAGTATTGGCAAGAGTAGAGTCACTGGAGTCAGGCTGATATACATTTGAATACTGGGTCAGCCAATGCCTAACTGTGTGACCTTGGATGAGCTAATTCAATGTCTCTGTTAAAAGAGTATAATTGACTTTGCAGGGCTAAGGGAGTGATTAGAGGTAACAGTGCCTGGTGCCTGGCACATGTTAGGCATTCAGCTAATTGTTGTCATTGTTATTTCCATGGCTGTGTGGCAGGGGTGATGGGATTGCTAGGAGCCAGCACCTCCGAGTTCTGTAGGGGGAGCAGTCTTGGGCAATGCCACCTGGGAAAAGGTTCTAGCAGCCTGGGCCTGCCTCGCACCCTTGATCTTTTCCCCTGTGATTTAGTCTTAGCATAATTATACAGCTTTAGGCTATGGAATTACCTTGTTACTCACAAACAATTATGCTTTACCATTCTTTCCTCTGGGCCTATAACCTTACTACTGTGCTAGCTTTATAACGGTGGTGTTGCTTTATATTGCATGAAGAAATTATTTGAAGAGCTCTTTCCTACTCAAGACTGTAGCAAAACAGTGTTTCAGCCAGAGGAAAGCCATCACAGTAAATGAGGGGGGCTGCTGCCAGCACTCCCTGTGTAGTCACCTGAGGATTGGAAGAGCACAGATTTCCCAGACTTCTACCACAGAATGATTTATAGACCGACACATGGCATAGCAAAGAGATATAGTTCATGCTTAAAAGGTTAATTCTTGACTTGATTTGTTTTAGAAGTTCTGGAGATTCCGTGGAGGACAAGAAAGACAAAGAGAGGAAATGACAAGGCCCATGTTCTTCAAAGAGAAGAATGGGGAGAGAGAAAGAAACACGTGCAAAGAATTATTTGGTGTTTCTGTCCATTTATCTGTTTCATTTTCTCATAATCCTCCTCCAGTGCTGCTTTCGTTTTGCATGTCCTTCCTGCTTAGGCATGGGATCATTTCTTTCCATTGTCATTTCTCTCGAAATGTATCCATTTTCACAAGTATATCATATAGATAGGTGAAAGTAGAGGGAGATAGGAAGGGTAAAGTCAGGCAACGTCAATTTTTTTAAATCTGTAGCAAAAAGGAGAAAGTTCACAATTATAGCCCAAAAAAATTCAAACGTTTTAAGTTTCTTTTAAGGTTTCTGCGTACACATTTCCTGCAGAAAGACTATACAGATGCCTTTGGTGATTTCAGGATGTGTTGTTCAAGCTACTTAAAAATGATAAGACTTTAAAAAAAAAAAGAACATGTTGTTACAATCACCACTAATATTTTATTTATGTGTTGACTTCCTTGTGTTGGGAGTAATGGCACCACTGGATATTTTAACTGTAGAAAGAATGTTTATTTCCCTCTTAAAAGGCCAGAGGTTGGGCTATGGATTTTCACAGAAATATGACAGTAACCTCACATCTCCACAGAATCTTTCAACTCTCGGTTGTCAAATGTATTTCTCAACAAGTGCACTTATGCCTCCATGAGTCCAAGTAAAGACAGTAGGGAATGCATTCACAGTTGTTTCAAGTGAGGATGGGAGAAGAATTTCTTACCTAATTGAAATTGTTGGAGGGATTCATTTTGGAAGCCTAATAGAATTTCCTGGCTTGGATTTAAGCCAAGATATTGGAGCACCTTTCTTCCCTCATGATAAGTCTTAGAAAAAGGACCACTGGATGGAAGAAGACGGGGGGAGTTTCACATCATACTGCAAGGCTTATTGTATTATTTATTTATTTCAACTATTATTTCAGATTCAGGAGGTACTTGTGAAGGTTTGTTATAAGGCTATATTGCATGATGCTGAGGGTTGGGGTACGACTGAATCAGTCACCCACGTAGTGAACATAATACCCAATAGGTAGTTTTTCAGCCCTTGCTCCTCTCCCTCCCTCCCCCTTCTTGTAGTCCTCAATGTCTTTTGTTCACATCTTTTCGTCCATGTGTACTGAATATTTAGCTCTCACTTATAAGTGAGAACAGGCAATCTTTGGCTTTCTGTTTCTGCATTAATTTACTTAGGATAATAGCCTCCAGCTACATCCATGTTGTTGCAAAGGACATGATTCCATACTTTTATACCGCTTCAATACACTTTAAAAGAAAGGGCTCTTTTAAAAAATTACTTTCCACTAATAAACGGCATAAATGGCAGTGGAAGAACTTCCACTAGTGAGAAAAGCTAATGCAGCAGTCTATAGCCAGCTTTTTTTGTCTGAGTATCAGGATGTCTGTGGTGGGACCTGTGGAACAGCCTCGAGGTCACTGTTAGGTACAACTCCAGTGAGCAAAGACAGTTCAGAAGACTCTATAGAATCATATGAGCTTTTTACTTATGTACTGTTTCAAGGATGGTTCTATCCTCCAAACTCTTAATGCCTATTCCCTTATAAACTGTGTTGAAATTCACGCCAGTCAGATGGTGGTTGATGAAGACTGAAAAGACTTTTTATTCTCTCTCTCACTCTCTCTCTCACATGTGTGTTCTCTCTCACTCTCTTTCTCATTCCATCTATTGAATTATCATTGCAAATACTCTCACTGGCCTAATAAACTTACACTTCTTAAAAAAACAATTAGCCTTTTTGTTTGGAAGCTTCATGATGCTCTATGAAGCTGACATATGGCACTGACAGATGCTCTATGGACTATTATCAATATACCAGCCAGCATCACACACCTACATCCCTCCTTTTTTTACCAAGCCTGGATCTGAGTCCTACATATACTACTTCCCAATGTGAGACCCTGGGCAACCACTGTCCCTTACTAGCTCTTATATTTTTTCTTTTATAAAATGGCAATCATGAGACTACCTCTTTCTTAGGGTTGTGAGGATTAAATTAGAAAACATACATAATGTGTTTAACACCAGCCTAGTGCATAGTATAATTCATTATGATTATTATATTATTAGTAATACTTATTTCTAAATTATTTTATTTTTAACATAAACTTATCAACTCCTTTGCTCTTGTTCCCACAATGCTGTCTTATATGTAATTCTAAGTAACTATAGGTAACTGGAAGTTAGCTAGGGCCCATTTAACAATGTTACTGGAGGAGCAGTCATTTAAAACATACTGAACGCTGCTCTAGAAAGATCAAGAACAATTAGATGCTTTGATTATGTATGAGCCATCAACTTAAGTTGAACATGGGATCCTAAGCTGTGTCTCCTCCACCATAGATCTTCCACATACCTACTCCCTTTGCCGAGTGGAAAATGTTATCTTTTCTCTCATATTCCAGTTGCAGCTCTCTGAATAATCATCCACTCATTTGCCATGACTCAGGATGGTTCACTAGGCCATTGTCAAGATCCTGTCACTTCTCTTTCCACATAGATTCCTTTCAGTCTCTCCCTTATCCTACTGTGATGGCCTTAGTTCAGCTCATAAGAGGAAGTCTTTAAAGATTACAGAGGCTTTTGTATATCTTGCATATCATTGAATCAATCCTTTCCACAGAGATGGAGATGAACTGTATCCATCCCCCAATTAGGTCCCTGGAAATGGAGTGTCTTGAACTCAGCTTAAACAGGGAACAAGCGGGAGAAGAAAACATTTACCAGCTGCTAATCACACCCATCAGATGCTATAGCATTATGGCTTTTGAAATTGCCGCAAGCTAAAAACTTATCCAGATCACCTCTCATCAACACTGAATTACAAACTCCTTCACAAGACACAGGTTACCCCCCTATGGCTCTCTTACTACAAGTTTTTGCAACTGCCTCAGGTATACATGTTGCTTTAGTCACATCAAACAATTTGCCTCGGACACAGGATGCTCAGTCACTCCCCCATGAATTTGTATATCTTGTTGTCTAAAAAGACGGCTCTTCCTAAATCTATCTTATGAGTTCATTCTTTGATACCCTATCCAACTGTCTCTACCTCTGGGGAAGCCTTTTAGCAGTCCCCAGACATAGTCAAGATCTTTTCTTCTTTGCCTTTGAAACAGTTGACTTCTCATCTATTATTACACAGAGTCTACTGTCATATTGCTTATATGTCTCCCATAAAAAGCTGAGAGTCACTAGAAGGGTTCAAAGTTTAATATTTTTTCTTTATGTTTATAATATATTGTTCATTGTTTGTTAAGTAAAATAATGAAAGATGTTATGGGACAAGTAATGAACCTTTCCTTTCAGGATTCCCTGATTCTACTCTCCTGGTTGGTGATGCCTTCTCCACAAATCATCAAGATTTGAAATACATTTGTGACTTACCCAAACACATACAAACCAAGCTAACGAGTTCTTAAAAAGAGCTAGTCTGTCTGCCTTACTGCTTAACAGGAAGGAAAGACAGTGGGTCAGTATGAACAGCTGAAACACAGGACTGAGAAGGACATTCAGATGGAATAAATTCAACGTTCTAATTCCCATCAGGGTATTCAAACTGAAAGAAACTTTCAGCATCTCTCAGCATATACATAACACTCATGTCTATATAAAGACATTTATTTTACTACCATGGAAAAATGTGAAGAAGGGCAAATCCAATTTCTCCATTAGCTGATAGTGTTTACCTCATTTTTTAAAGAAAGCAGATAAAGTATTTGTTGCAGTAAGTGGAAAAATACAGTATGAATCAAGCTTCAAAAATGAAAAAAATGGCTAAACTGATCCGAACTGAATGGCAACTGATATCCCTCCTTGTGATATGTGTCTGGAACTTGGAAAAAATGAAGGTCTGCAAACACTCTGATTGGCTATTAAAAACTTGCAGTATTTTTCTCTGTCCTGTTATTACGGCAGTAAATTATAGTAAGGTTGGAGCCCATTCTCAACATCGCAGAATTGGCTTTCTGCTACTATCCCAATCACAGCCACCCCAATTAGTCACCGGCTGAATGGTTATGCAACCACAGATTTAGATTAAAAAGCAGTTTCATCTCAAGAGTAATTCATAGCAAGAAATGTTTCTCCCCTCACCCGATGACCTTTTAGAATGCCACTCGTGCAAAGAGAATAACAAAAGATGGTATTTGCTTTGGCATTTGTCTTTTTTTGGATGCCTGAGCAATATTTGAAAGAGTGGGTGGTTAGAAGTAGGGTGGCAATGTTCTTTCCAATTTTATACCTCACTCTAGGTCTTCAACCAGTACATATGGGCATTGTAATACTGCATTTTGTGGATGTAGCAGGAATTGAGTAGATGTGGACAGAACAGAAGAGGAATGCTGAGAAAGTGGGTGGGTCTTTAAACATGTTCTTTAAATGGCACCCCTCACAAGAATAGAAACATGAATGACTCCACATGATGCAAAATTCAAGGAGACAGTGGCAGAAAAACAGGATATGAATTTCAGCTTTCTAACTTTCTAACTATACGACATTAAGAAAGTCACCTAACTTCTCTGATGCTCGCTATTTTCCCATCTACAAATGAAGACAATTATACCAATCTTGTCTTCCTCATAGGGCTATTGTGAGGATTAAGTCAGAATAAGCACAATAATAGTATACTTAAACTGTAAAAAGCTGTTCAAGCATCAGAAATTTTCATGATCCTTTAATACAATGCCTCACGACCTACGACTGCTTGGATCTTCAGAACTGGGGGAGACTTCAAAATCATTCAGCCATCACACATATCTGAGGCCCGGTCCCTCCTCTAACATAGATGAACAATGGATATTAGCCTCTACAAAGGCTGCCAATGTTGGGTAATTCACCACCTGATGAAACAGCACTTCCATTATTAGACGTCTTTGCCTATTGGAAGATGGCTCAATGAAATTTACTTTATTAAGAAATGCTTCCATTTTCTTACACTTACTATGTACCAGAAAAAAAGACTCTACTAAGCAGTTAACCAATTAGATCTACTTAGGTTCTTTAAGCAATCCTAATAAAATATGTATCATTTACACCATTTTACACATGAAGAAACTTCAGTTTATAGACGTGAATTCATTCATCCAAGATTGTATATTAGTGAATGTTGAAATATGATCTGGGAAAGCTTTTTAGATTGTGACAAACTCAAAACGAGAAGTAATGCTGTTGCTCTAATGAGATGTTAGAAGGGCTATGTGACTGTTCCTATCTTCTCCCTGTCTTCCTCTTTGCAATGCGAACTTAGGAAAATGTGCCATTGTTTCTCCTCCTCTCCTTATAAACTGAGAAAAATAATAGTTTCTAGGAGCCACAGAGGGATGCCTGTGCAAATTAATGAGTTAATATTTGTAAAGAGCAGTGTGACTCTTTAATAAAAGTATGTCCTACCTGAGAACCACGTATTCCACTACCTGAGTGCGAAAGCAGCTCAATAGTGAAAATATAACCTTGTTTTAAGTTTGATTTTAATAATAGCATTGTATTAGGTTGGCAGAGAACAGGGTACCCACAGGAATGAAATCAAAGCAATTAGTTAGCATAGATCTTAGAAAAACTGAAATAATAGAACCACTGGATGCTCTCTGTGATTTGTGTTGCTCCACTGATGCCTAAACCATAGATGCCTTTTCAGATTTGTCAATATCTCCGGTTGTATACTAACTGTTGAGTCAGTAGAGGAGCACACATAGACACATGTCATCTGGCCTTTCAGTGACAGAATAGACCAAATGTTTTTATCCTGCTTTGGCTCTCCAGCTTCTTGCTGGCCTTTGAAGATGTCATGAGGCCAGCCCATTATGGCCACATAGCAGTAAGCTAAAAAAAGTATAGATAACTAGGACATGATCTGTATTCAAAAGTGGGCTTACATCTCCTGTCAAACTGAGATTTGACTGTCTTCTAGCTTTTAACATCCCCAGGTGACAAAAAGTTATTGTATCATTTCCATTCTATATCTTTAAAAATCAGAATACCTGTCTTTCAACAGTGGCAGAAAATATGTTAAGGGGGATTGTCCCATACCTATTTCACCCTAGTTCCTGATTTTTTTCAATTATTCATAAAATTAAGTATAGAAAATTCATTCTAAGGCTGTATCTTCCTTGCTTCAGAAAAACTTAGAATTAAGGAATAATCTGTTGTGATAAGATACCACCAGTATAATTCAGGTTTCATATCTAAGTCTGACTCTCATATTCTAGTTTCTCCCAGAATTCCTTGAAATAGTTAAACCATGACAAGTATAGTAATCATAATACAAAAAATCAACTAAGGGTTGTATAAGGAGTAATTCTAATAATAAGGTTTGGGGGAAAAGGAAAGAGAGGTATTCAAATAAGAATATGTAAAATGTGGAAAACACCTTTTCTTCCTGTGACTCTTTAATTTTATGCCCCTTTCTCAGTATTATTTAGAATCATGGATATTAATAATGAAGTGGAAAATAAAATAGAGCAAAATCAAAAATGACAAAATTTTTCTAAAGCACTAGAAAATAACATGTTTTTTTAAAGTTAGAATCAAGAAGCATATTAAGTACCTATTGTGTGTTCAGCAAATAATAGAAACCATAAAAATGTAGAATTAGAGAAACAAGCATGAGGCTACAAATAAATTCTTAAAATACATAATAGAAAAAGAGTATTAATCTATGTTTTATTTATAAAAGCAATTAGAAGTAAATATAACAATGTTAACATCTATTAATTCTGCATGGTGATGGGAATTTGTGATATAAACTTGGGAATAGCTCATATATAACTAGAAGTACAGAATTAGGGTTCGACAGGAAATTAGGATGAGATACTAACTTTAGAAATATTATTCTATTCCCTATTATCCTAATTTTTCTACCAAAGCAGTATCAGCTCATATATAATTCCTTAGGATTTCAAGCTAATGAAATGGCTCTTTCTAATTACAAGTCATAAATTTTGCCTACACTTGAATTTCCTCAAAACCCATATATGATCATCTAATTCTAATGCTTTATTTATCTAAATCTAGTGCTAATGATCTTTCTGAGAGCTTAACATTTCTCAATCTAGTATCTCTGACCTATTTTTTTTAGTGAGCCATTTTGAAGCGGGCGAATCTTTCTCAGCAATCCCCGCAACAGAGCACTATTATGTTTGTCAGTCTCCTCCTTTTAATCCATGTTTTTGTCGTTGTTCCTTGTTTATCTGCTTTGTCGTGTCATCTTCAAAGTTTACACATAAAAGAGTATAACATTATATGGTTCAACAAAGTTTTGGGCCAATAAGAAAGGAGCTTGAGCAATCCTATAAAAATATTTCTGTACTTGAAACAAATAAAACAGAATTCTATTCCTAATTCATTTACTACTTTGCTGGATGACTGTGGACAAGTCATTTCATCTATTCAGGTTTAGTTTTATTATCTATTATAGTGAGGATGTTGGAATAAAGGCTTGCTAGAATTTTTGCAAGTCTGATGTTATTTCATTTCCATAATATTCAAACTTTACTTAATTGAACAAAGAACAAGTCTAGTTTCCAAAACAAGTGATAGCTTCAGAAAACCTTGTTTTCAAGGGCTTCATCTGACTTTACAAACCAAAAAAAACAATTGACTTATTAAACTTAATGATCTTACCAATTTTTTTTAGGTCAAACATTATGTTCTATTAATTTTCTATCTCCCTTACCAGACACTTGCCCAGATTTTTCAAATAGAAGGTACTCATTATTTTAAATAATAAACCTTAATATTAATATATCCCTCTAAAGTTTGTAAAACATTTTCATCTATAATATTGTATTTGACCCTTCAGTAATCCTATAAAGTAGACAATACTGTACATATTTTATAATTGATAAAACGTAGGCTCCCAAAAGTGATGACCTGCTTGAATTCCCATAGCTGATTAACGGCACTACTAAGATTTGAGTCAGACTTTTACTTTTGATGGATGGATGAATGGATGGATGGATGGATGAAGGGATGGATGGATGGATGGATGGATGGATGGATAAAACAAGATTTTTTTATTAGGACTAAAGTTTTTCTTTTACTATTCAAAGGTGACTTTATTTTATATGAAAGAAGGAAGACACAAAAGGCTCAGATAATTTCTAACATCTATCACTTGAAGAGTCTAGCCTTAAAACTATTAGCTTGAAGACTAAGCTAAAAGAGTCAAAAGAAGTAATAGAGATCATCGAATTCATAAACGTAATATTTTTATTATTGTATTTTTTGTAGTGGCTTAACATACTTCAGCAAGAACACTGGCATCTAAAATTAAACAATTTGATACAGATGATTCTTAAAAAAACTAGCCCTTTACTTGCCCTCTAAGATGCATTGTGCATTTCTAAGAGTAATGAATGTATTAGTTCTAACATTACCTTGTTAGCCTTTCTAACCATTAGTCTGTACATTAATGCAATTTGAAAAGAAAACACATTGAGTCTATTACATTACTTGTGTTAAATTTGAATGTCTCCTGTATTATTTTCTCAAAGTACTCAGAAGTGTCAGGTCCATCCAAATTTTTCCAAACTTGACTAAATGCTCTCAGAATACACCCACCAAGGCTGGGTGGGGTGTCTCACGCCTGTAATCCCAGCACTTTGGGAGGCCGAGGCAGGCAGATCACGAGGTCAGGAGATCGAGACCATCCTGGCTAACACGGTGAAACCCCGTCTCTACTGAAAATACAAACACATTAGCCGGGAGTGGTGGCGGGCACCTGCAGTCCCAGCTACTCGGGAGGCTGAGGCAGGAGAATGGCATGAACCCGGGAGGTGGAGCTCGCAGTGAGCTGGGACCGGGCCACTGCACTCCAGCCTGGGCAACAGAGTGAGACTCCGTCTCAAAAAGAAAAAAAAAAAAAAAAGAATACACCCACCAAGTGTGCAGTCTATAATCAGACACCCCAAGGAGACATAGCATTTATAGGCAAAAATATTTTTAAGGCAAAATCAGACCACAAATGGTTATTTAGTAAAAACAATAACCCCTAACACAGGCTATGTAGTATATATGTTGATGTCGCGGCAATGGTAAATGATGTTCTTCATCCAAAAGAACTATAAGTATTGGATATTTTATGTCAAAAATCTGAAAAAAAGGCTATTGGTTCATTTTTTAATCAATTACCATATGCCAACAAACCTGTTACAAGTTATACATTTTCCAAAACCTCTAGTAGGTCCTATGGTGGGTATAAGAGCATAAGACATTCTAAACTATTTCAAAGAATGAGTTTATAGAGGAAAAGACACTCTACCTGCCCCAACAGAGGTTAATTTTGACCATCCTCACTCGGTCTTCCGTTGTGTCAATTCTGTTTTTCATCAGCTAATGATCACCTGACTCCTCCAGCAGTAAATCACAAAGTTCCTCCTTATTCCAACAACTTCCAATTATTCTGTTGCAGCCATTTTCCTTTCATGTGATCTGCTCTACTTTTTCATAAGAAAATTGGAGGCCGGACATTTTGAGTGTTCTTGCTCCTGGTTTTGGTTCATTATTTCTTTAAGCTCTCTACACTCGCAGTTTGTTCTAATCAAACTCAGCCCTTTACAGTGACCTGTGTTTATTACGGTGTCTCTCTTTTTCCAACCAGCAGGCCATTTCCCATACATACCCCACCATTCCTTCAGGTATAATTGAGAGGCCTACCATTCACTATATATATATTTTTAAAAAATCATGTCAATTCCCCACCCCAACCCTGTTTTCCCTAAAATCCTTTCCCTCATTTTGAAACTCTTATTGGGATTTAAGTCAATGACACATTGTTTGGAATCTTTTTTTATTTAATTGATTAAAGCATTAGCATTAGCAATTTGTTTCTTCAATCAGGTTGGCATTTGTGATGCAGAGTAAGAGTGTTGCTGAGTGTGCTTGAAAAGTTGCAAGGCTCATGTGGAAGTAACAGAGGTGAAGTTACACCTTGTGATAGAAAAGTCTAGGATAATTTGGGTCATTATGCCGGCACCTGTCTGATGATCTGTTTATATGACATATGGAATGGCTATGAATTAAACTTATATAGAGATTCCAAATTCTAAGTTTAACCTATACAATCAGGATTAGTTGGGAAAACAGAATTTATGCCAGGTAGTTTGTTAGAGGAAATTTAATCCAAGGAAGATATTACAATAATGTTGGAAAGGCTGAAAAGTAAATAGTGGATGATGGCATACACTGGGGATTGGCAGTAGCAGAAAGATACTGCCATCTCCGGAACCGTGGGAGGAAGTGTTGTTACCATAGCCTGGAAGTCAGACCATGCAAAGGGAACTGCGATCATAGCAGAGGCTGCCCTGTGGAGACTGGACCCTGGAAGAGATGCAGAAGCACAGAGAAAGATGGAGAGAAATAGCCCAGCTTATTTGCTCCCACTGCCAGTCTCCCACGAGTGACTCTCACTGACTGAGCCTAGCAGGAAATCAGTTAGCAAGGACACAGGAAAATTTACTTTGTAGCATCAACAACCTGTGATACAGAGCTGAGCAGGTGAAGCATAGGGAATAAATTTGAGACCAAACAAGCAATTGGCTTTTGTATCTTTACCTATGTTCTTTTATCTACCTATCAATTTGCTATCAATAAATAAATATATACATATATATACACATATATATATACATATATATATATACACACACACACATATATATATATACATATATATACACACACACACACACACACACACATACAACCTATATACTTTGAAATACAATCGGGGCATAGTTTGCAAAGGGCTGTAACACATAATAAATTGAAAAATTTTGGTGACTGTCATTACTATATTCAAATAATTTTCATGTGTGTATGCATAATTCTTTATAATCCAGGAAGGGTTTTTACAGCATTTTCCTTGAGAAGATAAATTCCAAGTTTAAAGTATCTTCATCAGACTCTACCTTTACACATTACTTAAGAACTCTGGCAAAAAAGTTTAATTCTATGTTTATTATTCGCTCTGCTATCTCCCACCCTCTGTGGCCACCTCCTACATACTGACAAAAACTACTCTTCTATGCTAAGCTTTATTCTCATTGTATTTTGTTATTTCACTTCTCACTTTTCCTTCAAGCAAAAGTGTTCTGCTTCAAGAATAGGTTTTCCTCACTCTCCAAAGTAAAGGTAAAGGCAACTAAATTTCATTAAGTGCAACCGCTCTGTGTAGTTTACCTTGGGTTCAGTATTGGAGTCTGTATACCCTAAACTATAAGTGAAAGTGGTTGTATCATTTTTTACATATTCAAAGCTTTCTGGCACTCAATCCAAAGACTAATAATGCTATTTCAAAAAGTAACAGCACTTCTGATAAAATTGCTCATAAAATATATGAACCTTTACTGAACTGTATTATTCAATACTTTCCTTGCTATTATATTGGAACATGGAGACAATATTGAAAACATTCTCATTAGAGTCCTTGTTTCTTCGGGAAAAGCTTGTTCTAAAGGAAAATCTCACACCTCCATGTTCCCTTACTGAGTCACCGCTTGCTGATCAGCTTTTCCTTTTCATTCAAGTGTTGCCTATCACACAGCTCATCTAAAAGTACTGTCAAGGTTTGCGTCATTAAACTGCAATAGATGACAGTAAAAACAGCACTTGAGACAAATGAAAACAGCAATACCTGTTATTACCAAATACACTTTTCAGTTATCATTACAGAACGAAATGATAAAAAAGCTGAGTGACAAAGGACTGTTTGTTAGCAACAGCATCCTAAGTATAAACTAGAGGCATCAGAAGAGAATTAAAGATGACAAGTCCGACCTCTTTAGTAAAATCTCTGGTCAGAAGAACAAATAAGCAGCACATAACTAAGCATAAAACACTGAGCTATAGGAAAAAGCATGCCGCATAAGGTACAGCATCTAAAATTTCTTCAGCTTTAGTCTTATTCTTTAAAAACTACATCAGCACAATTCTACACAAAACAAATATATATGATATATTCTCAGTGACTCATAAAATGGGAACATGGTATGTATTACGACTTTAACTTATTTATTAGTTCTGAGGAATCATTATAATAGCTATTTAATTATATTTAATGTTAATGAAACACTACTATATATTAAAAAAGCTGCTTTTCAAACATATAACAATGAAAATAGCAAGCACTTATATAGCTATAATGAGCTAGGTATGTTCTACTTAACTATATTAACTCATTCTATCTTCAAAATAACTGAATTTTTCATCCCTGTTTTATAGATAAGGAAACAGAAGCACAAGGATATTAAGAAACTTCTTCAAAGTTATACTACTGGATACGACTGAAATGGATTCAACCATAGACAGACACATTTCTGAATTTCTGGTCTCAACCACCACACCTTGGGTTAGGTATTTACAAGGTTCAGGTGTTTTGTTGTAAGACACATGGTCAAACAATTTATAGGGACAAGGAAGAATGGGTCAGGTGTGGCTTGGTGGAATAAGAAATCAAGGTACTGGGAAAGTCTTAAGATAATGAAACATTTATTTAAGGCAAACTGTTACAAAGAACTTGGCTAAGAACTGGATATACTGATGTGAATAAAGTTTTCGTTGAATTTACAGTCCCCTTTTTCATAAATTTGTAAACTAGTGGAGGAACTTACATTCTATTGGGTACAATTAACTTATCGTCAAATGCGTTATTACTGAATTCCTAGGAAGGGTGCACTATTCAGTTGAAAAGAGGAGAAGCCCATAAAATCAAGGTTTTACAATCCTCTTAAGACCATATAATCAAAAATGACCTAATTAATCCTAGAGAATTAAGAATTATTTAATCTAATATTATGGTTTCATAGATAATTACATCTTTTAATCATCTCTTTTTACAACTTATTGGGTTCCCCCAAAATGCCTTTTCCTCTTCTGAGTCTTCCCCATGAAGTTTTCTATCTAGTGTGCTTCTAAATCACCTTCCTTCAAATTTCCATCCATCCTCCATTCCTGGTTCATAACTAATGATTTCATAAAGTTTTCTCTTATTTCTCAGTTTGAAATATTTTTCTCATACACTCACACCACTCTGCTCATGCTTGGTTGATAGGTGTTTTCGTATTCTACATTATATGGCATTCGTATACAGACTTTGCTTATCTCCACCCCTGTATTAAGGGCTACTTGGGAACAACATCTACTTTGTTTATCTATCTGTCTCCAACAGTATTTGGCATAGTTCCCAATAACAAATAGATGTTTATTAAATAATTATTGAATTGGATATTCCTGATAAAAAGATGGTCTACAGCAAAGTTTATTTATTTTAATGCAAAATCTCAACACTATGTAAAGAGAATAATAATTATATTTGTTTGCTTAAAGCAACTTGAAATAGGGTTAACTATTGACAGTTTTATTATTGTATATTATATGCATATGTATATGAATCTTTATATACATAGATAACAATGTATTCTATTCTTACCTCAAGGCATCTTATTTTTAGGAATTACCTAACTTTCATGGTTTTAAATTTGCCACTCAAGACTGCATTATTACAGAGTTTTGCATTTTTTTATAAAATTAGATGCAAAAATATGCTAATGTATCATTAAGACTGAGATTGTAATTACACAGGAGTCAGAAAACTCTCTGTTAAAGTTCCCAAAGCAACAATAATTCTTTTCTTGAAAATATCAATGAAAAAATATATTTTTAAAATTTGTTTTCCTGTGGTGTTAAAAGCCTAAACACAAAGGAAACTTGAGGTAATATTTGAGAACCAGGAAATAAAGTGAAAAATCTAAACATGGAGAAATTACACTATCTTAAATAATTACATTTTTTTAAAAGAAAACAAATTACTTCTTTGATAAAAAGTCAACTTGAATATAAAGTATTTTTAAGCTTCAATAATGTAAGGTGTTAGTTAATAAGTGAGAAAATATTTTCTAAGATATGTAATTTGGGTCTTGCCTGAGACCATCTAGCTATAGAAATGCTCTAGTAATGCTACTACATTAAATTAATGTTTGTAATTAGACTAAAATTTTAACACCATAAATCCCACTACAGCTATTTATTTTCAAACTGTTAAGGATCTATGGTTATTTTCACGACAGTGTGATTTACATTTGTATTTCCTCTGTTTCAGGTCTACCATTTTGACAATGTAGACACTGTCTAATTAGCTCCATTTAAAATTCTGATTTAGTTGTATCCAGTCACAATAAACACACACACACTGCTAATAACAAAATGTGTTTGACAGTTCTGTACTTAGAAAAACTGCAATAAATGTTTTGGTTTGTTTAGGGTATGACATATCAAAATAGTGACTTATTGACAATCTCCACTGGGTGAAATAAACACTACAAATTATAAATCTTCATCCTTTATTATTTAGGATTTTCTATGGTATTTCACAAATAGCCAGAGTTTTATTCCTTGATAGTTATTCAAGTAAATATGTTATCTATCAATCAACCATCGACTCTTACGTTTATGAAAACAGAGTGAAATAATAAACATGAGCCTACCAGAAAAGAGAATTTAACTGAAGAATTGCAAAGAAAAAGCAAAGACATTTCTAAAGTGTGTCACTCACATTGTACGCAACCACAATAATCCAAAAAATTCCTGATCAATCATCACGAATTTAAATCATTAATCTGGTGAATGAAAATCACAATGACAAAATAACTGTGTAACTTTGGTGTAGAGAACTGGACTATGTTGCTTTGCTGTAAAATCTAAATTCCACCATTTTGCATGCCTCAGTGATAGAAAGAGTGTCATTTGGTTTTTGAAACTTCATCAAGATCTGTCAGTCAGTCAATTCACAGTGAGAAACTCACAAGAAACTTGATGGTAAACATGAATATGCAAACAAACGTTGTAGCCTTTGTAACAATCTCCAAATGACCACTTAGCTCACATAAGGATAACATCAGACCTATACACTTTTAATTAAGTGAAATCTCTAAACTCTGTGCCATTATATTTTTAAATAATCTAAGATAAAATAGACAAAGAGAAGTAGTACCCAAAGATGGAGAATTTAGAAGCCATAACAAAGTAGATACTTGCCTCATATTCATGACTTTTTCTCGGACAACAGTTTTTTAAAAAACAGGAATAGCAACTTACCTAAAAAGAGAATGAGAAAAAAAAAAAAAAAAAACTGGTTACTATAAGAGAATTGTAAAGACATCATAAAGAAAGTATGACATATGCTAACAGTCAGAATCTGGCCTAACCACATAGATAAGTC
Organism: Homo sapiens; assembly: GCF_000001405.40. Classification (NCBI taxonomy): domain Eukaryota; kingdom Metazoa; phylum Chordata; class Mammalia; order Primates; family Hominidae; genus Homo; species Homo sapiens. Next base: position 116,801,425 of record NC_000003.12, read on the forward strand.
ATGCAATTCCACGAAGTGCTTCTACTATAATTTTCTATGCCTTATACCAAGTTCCTTGTGTTCTTATCCCCTGCCTGCTTTCTCCAATGCACCTTCACTTCACCCCAATCTTTGCAGGCATTTTATTCTCAGGCTGGTTTGCATTTGTTAATACTCAACTGTTATCTCAAAAAATGTGTATTTTCATTCATAATAAAAAATCAAGAAATTCAGCCAAGATTCCAGATTTTACCTCTTACAGGAGTGCTACCTTGATCAAGAAAATCTGTGAATGGAAGGCAATTGAATAATTGAACTTAAATCTGCTTTTAGCTTCCGAATCCTAAATTGTTGAGAGAAGGCAACTGGAGTGGTCAAGAGAAAAAAATTGAAATAAAAATTTCAGATTGACTGATTCAACTGGGATAAATCTGGGGGAGACAGGCCCATCCCGTGCCACTTTCTATTTTATTCCCTAGGATTACCTATTCTGTGTATAGGCAAGGCTGATTTAGCAGCCAAAGTTCTGGGCTCATAAAAAGCTTATAGAATGCTGTAACATGGGATTTATATGACTGTAATATCATCTGTGAATTATAGAAGAGTGAGATTGGAGGTAAAAATGGGATTGTGGGAATGAACTGGGATGCTTTTGTAAAATAGATCCAGTTTCCCTGGGATAATTTCAAAACTTCTAGGTTCAAAGGCCAATACTGCTCAGTGCACTTGTCATATGGAATACCAGTCAGAACATATAGGAAATTTGTGTGCCAACAAGAACACATGAGCAAACAAACTATGGCGTGGGAAGCAGGGAAAGGACTGGCTCTCCCAGGCAGGTGCTGCAGTGTTTGCAAATCACCTAGTGCAACCTCCATTTTCCTGGAAACCAGCTTGGAAAATGCCCTAGGTGCACAACATTTATGTTTCTCCTGCTGCAAGCTGAAGTGTTCATTTTATGCATTGACTAATTTATGAGTTTAGTGAGAAATTCTTTGTAAAATAAATTCTAGAAAAGAGAGAACCTGAAAACAAATTCCCTCTGCGCAACATGTGTGTATGGTCCCATTAGCAGTAGCACAGTGGGCAATCGATTAGGGAAGGAAAAATGGCTTTTTTTATGGTAATGGATTTCGAGCCTCCTGGTGATAATTTATTTACTAGAAATTTTGCAGAGCTGGCTAGCACACTGATGAAAATCCTCTGAACATGTTCATTTAAAAAGCGGAAAAAACCAGTTTGGCTTATTTTTGAGAAATATTGTTATTAAATCATTGAAAACATATTGATAAAATATTCCTGAAAGCTACAGTCCTGTAATTTATAATAGAAATTACATTGCTATTGACAAATGGCAATTTAATCTCACAATTAACTATAACAATTTGAATTTCTCTGTTGCAATTTTTTTGTTTTTAGAAAAACCTTGACAGACATTCAGCAATGTTGTGCTAGGATAGTCAGCAGTGCTGGCTTTCTTTAAAAGCAGTCCATCTCTTTTTTGTTTTTATGTTTATACAGAGTTATACTATCCTACAAACCAAGATGTAAAACAAGAGATCTTTTATCTTGACTTGCAACCCCTGTGATATCTTCAGATAAAGGGAATTTCTCTACTTCAACTTTCTTTGACATGCAAAGACAGAATAGCAATTTGGCCCAGTTCAAAGAACGTAAACATCAGAATTAGCATGGCCTATATTTGTATTTCGCTTCCATCATGCATTGGCTCTGTGACATAAGTAAATGCAGCTCATTTATTGAACCTCTGGTTCCTTTATTTGTAAGATGGAGAAAACATCTACCTTGGAAAGAACATGGAAGGAAGGTACACATATGCCATGTACCTACCCTTATGTCATGTCCATTAAGCCCATGTCCTGCTTTCCCCTTCAAAAAATGAGAATTTCAGGTGCTGGCATCTTTTTTCACTTTCCATTATGGGGGGCCTCTCTCTTCCACTTAACTCAGAATGGGAGAGTAAAGTATTCATTAACAGGGGCAATCTAACACCCATTTCTTTCTACCCATATGCATAAGCTACTCCCTGATTTGGGAATCACATGAATACTGGACAGTAGAAAAAAAGACATTAGAAATAGTTATTCATAAAGGTTCTTTTCTGGTTGGTCTTGTTAATATCTAATTATGAAACTATTTTAGCAATGGAGCTGAGGAGTGGCAAAAGGATAATAAAGAATCTTGACTTTAAAGATTTAGGGATTTCATGCAAATGAATTCATGAGCCAATCAAAAGTATCACAAGAAACAAAATAAATATTATATGTTATATACAAAAGAGATGAAACAAAAATGAACATATATGCACCTGACCATATAGCCTCAAAATATTTAAACCAACAACTGACTGAACTAAGAAGAGAAATATATAGATCAACTATTTGGAGATTTAAAACCAGAAAACAAAAAGCTAGCAGATTAAAAAGAAGATGAGAAATATATAATATTTTAAAACATGTTTGGCCGGGTGCGGTGGCTCACGCCTGTAATCCCAGCACTTTGGGAGGCCGAGGCGGGTGGATCATGAGGTCAGGAGATCGAGACCATCCTGGCTAACAAGGTGAAACCCCGTCTCTACTAAAAATACAAAAAAAATTAGCCGGGCGTGGTGGCGGGCGCCTGTAGTCCCAGCTACTCGGGAGGCTGAGGCAGGAGAATGGCGTGAACCCGGGAAGCGGAGCTTGCAGTGAGCCGAGATTGCGCCACTGCAGTCCGCAGTCCGGCCTGGGCGACAGAGCGAGACTCCATCTCAAAAAAAAAAAAAAAAAACCAAAAAAAACATGTTTGTTTGAATAACTTAGATTAACAGACAAAAATCTCCTAAAACCAGTGAATACATATTACAGATTCTTTACAAGCACATAGGGAGCATTTACAAAAATTAATTATAAACTGACCCATAAAAAATCATAAATAAATTCCAAAGATTCATCATTATTCGGATTATATTATCTGACAAAAATACAATAAAATTAGAAATTATTCATAAAAGAAGAGCCAAAATACTATAATCACCTGGAAATGACCCAAAAATATCTGTTTCTAAACAACTCTTTGACTAAAGAGAAAATCTTAAGGGAATTAAAAAAAAAAACTTAAGTAGCATTTAAAATAGTATATTTAAAAATGTGTGGGGGCACAGATGAATTGTTACATAAAAATTATCGGTTTAAGTGCTCTTATCTGAAAACAAAAAAACACTGGAAAACAAATGAGCTTAAACATTTGAACTCAAGAATTCAGTAAATCAAATACAAAAATGAAGGAAACAATGATAAGATCAAAAATTATTTAAATGTAAAAAGATATAATTAATAAAAATAAAAGGCTGGTTTTCTGAGAAACTTCATAGAGCCAAAACTAAAACAAAGTAAAACAAACAAACCTAAAGAAAATGTATCAATACAAAGTGAGAAAGAGACACAGCAAAGAACGAAAGAAATGGCAAAATACTTATAAAGAATTTTGATACTCGGTTTCCAAATATAAACAAAAGTATAAATATCAGAAAAATAGAAAATGTCTAAATCGGAGCAAGAAGAAAGAGAAAACTTAAATAGGTAACTGTATAATATAATAATCAAATTTTTTTGTTTGCTAAAAAAAGCTCTAGGTTTAGGTGATTTTGCAGATGCTTTTTACCAAAATTTTAAGAAATCAATAAATGGAAATTACAGGTTCATTTTAATTTTCAGCAACATAAAAAAATCTGAATAAACTACTAATAAGCTAATCAAATCCATGAGTATATTTAAAATGTTAATTATGAACATAAAGCATGTATCCCCCAAATTGAGGATGATTTTTAAAAAAAGAAGAAAAGGTAGTAATGTAACACAACACATTAATGGACAAAGAAAAGAAATCACATAATTATCTCAATAGATGAAGAAAATTATTTGCAAATCTTAAACATCTACTTGCAATTAAATTTAGAAAATTGGAACTAGAGAACAGCATCCTTAGTGTGAAGAAAATTTGTATTTCAAAAATTTACAGAAATTTACACTGAATACAGAAAACTTATGACCATACTAAGATCATAAGACCTTTACAAAGTTAATCTGAAAAAACTCTCTTAAAGAACATAAGCTAATATTTGAATACATAAATATATTAAGCTCAAAAATAGCATGAACTAATATTATAAAGGCATGACACTTCCCCAATTTTCCTTTATAAATTAAATGAAACCCCAATGAAAATTCCAACATGATATTTTGTAAAACTTACCAAATATTCTCTCTCTTTCCCTCTCCCCCATCCCCATACACACACAGAATAAAACATAAATAAAATAAATAAGGACAATTCTTAACAAAGTAAAGGAAAGAAAGATAATCTTCCATCTCAAGCACTAAAAGACAGTACTATACTGATGGAGAAATAGAGAGATACACCTCTGGGACAGAAAAGAAAGTTTCTAAGTAGAATATTGATGTGTTATAAAGGTAGAATACATACCAATGAGAAAATGACTTATTTTCTGTAGATAGTATTGAGAAAATTGCTTCACAATTATGCAGAAAAATAAGTCCAGATCCCCCACCTCCACCAATACTATGTTGAAAAATAGGTTCAAAATGAATTAACACCCTAAGTATAAAAGGTAAATATATAAAGCTCAAAGAAGAAAAGGTAAGGGAATATTTCCATTTTATAAGGATGGAGAAAGGCTTCCTAAATAACACCTGAAGAGCAAAACAATGAGGTAAAATATTAATGGGTTTGAGTGCAACAAAACAAGAAAATAAAAAACTTCCATTTAACAAAAAGTACCATTAGCACAATTAACAGATGAGATCAGAAGAGATAGCTATTTTATATAAAACTAATACATAATTACACTCAAGGAACTTTTTAAAATCAACAAGAAGGAAAACAGGGATACAATAAGAAAAATGGGTATGACATTTAGACAGTTAATAGAAATGAACCCTAAATAGTTAAACAGCATATGAAGGCATATTCTAACTGTATCATAATAAAAAAAAAACTCAAATTTTGAACAATCAATTACTACCCATGAGGTTGGCAAAATGCAAATTTGGATAATTTTAAGTGTTGAACAGGAAGTGGGAAACAGGAAATCTCAGCATTTCTGGTGAGAGTATAAATTAGTACAATGTAGTGGAGAGCAACTTGGCAGTACTTAGTGCAATTAATTAAAAATACAGCCTCTGACACATACCTAGAGAAACTCTTCCACATATCTGAGAGGGAATGTTTCTCTCAGTAGTATTTATGTTACTGCAAAGCAGAAGGCAATCTATGTGTCCATTATTATGGAAATCGATAAGTAAAATGTGTTAGAGTCATCTTGTAGAACATTGTGCAATTATTAGAAAAAATAGATATACACACACTAGAATGAATAGATCCTGAAAACTATACTCAGGGTAAAAATAAGAAACAGATTTTCTAGCACAGTCTCATTTATATAATAAGCATTATTTATTATACAAAGACAGACACCTATTTAAGAATACATACCTAACATATTAGCATGGGTGATTATATCTGGGTAGGAATAAAGGAAATGAATGAGGAAAAAAATAAAACAAATGAGAGGACATGCACAGAGTAAGGTTGAAGGTGAGCCATGACATAAGAAATATGATTAACTCAAAATTCTATTCCCATGGTTAAGGAAGAAAAAAATGATAGAAGGAAAGGAGGGAAAAAAGGAGAAAGAGAATGTGAAAGAAAGAATGAAGTTAAAGAAATACTTGGCAGTTAGTCAATCCTAAGCCAAAAGAACAAAGCTGGAGGCATCACCCTACCTGACTTCAAACTATACTACAAGGCTACAGTAACCAAAACAGCATGGTACTGTTACCAAAACAGAGATATAGACCAATGGAACAGAACAGAGCCATCAGAAATAATGCCACATATCTACAACTATCTGATCTTTGACAAACCTGACAAAAACAAGAAATGGGGAAAGGATTCCCTATTTAATAAATGGTGCTGGGAAAACTGGCTAGCCATATGTAGAAAGCTGAAACTGGATCCCTTCCTTACACCTTATACAAAAACCAATTCAAGATGGATTAAAGACTTAAACGTTAGACCTAAAACCATAAAAACCTTAGAAGAAAACCTAGGCAATACCATTCAGGACATAGGCATGGGCAAGGACTTCATGTCTAAAACACCAAAAGCAATGGCAACAAAAGCCAAAATTGACAAATGGGATCTAATTAAACTAAAGAGCTTCTGCACAGCAAAAGAAACTACCATCAGAGTGAACAGGCAACCTACAAAATGGGAGAAAATTTTTGCAACCTACTCATCTGACAAAGGGCTAATATCCAGAATCTACAATGAATTCAAACAAATTTACAAGAAAAAAGCAAACAACCCCATCAAAAAGTGGGCAAAGGATATGAACAGACACTTCTCAAAAGAAGACATTTATGCAGCCAAAAAACACATGAAAAAATGCTCATCATCACTGGCCATCAGAGAAATGCAAATCAAAACCACAGTGAGATACCATCTCACACCAGTTAGAATGGCAATCATTAAAAAGTCAGGAAACAACAGGTGCTGGAGAGGATGTGGAGAAATAGGAACACTTTTACACTGTTGGTGGGACTATAAACTAGTTCAACCATTGTGCAAGTCAGTGTGGCGATGCCTCAGGGATCTAGAACTAGAAATACCATTTGACCCAGCCATCCCATTACTGGGTATATGCCCAAAGGGTTATAAATCATGCTGCTATAAAGACACATGCACATGTATGTTTATTGCGGCACTATTCACAATAGCAAAGACTTGGAACCAACCCAAATGTCCAACAATGATAGACTGGATTAAGAAAATGTGGCACATATACACCATGGAATACTATGCAGCCATAAAAAATGATGAGTTCATGTCCTTTGTAGGGACATGGATGAAGCTGGAAACCATCATTCTCAGCAAACTATCGCAAGGACAAAAAACCAATCACCGTGTGTTCTCACTCATAGGTGGGAATTGAACAATGAGAACACAAGGACACAGGAAGGGGAACATCACACACCAGGGCCTGTTGTGGGGTAGGGGGAGGGGGTAGGGATAGCATTAGGAGATATACCTAATGCTAAATGATGAGTGAATGGGTGCAGCACACCAACATGGCACACATATATATATGTAACAAACCTGCACGTTGTGCACATGTACCCTAAAACTTAAAGTATAATAATAATAAAATTTAAAAAAAGAGAAATACTTGGCAGTTATATAAAAAGAGCTCAAGTATTAGACAAGTGTAAGTATTTTGTATATGTTGTGCTCATTAAAGATAAGGCCCAAACTTGGCTCAACAAACCCAAGATTTCTAACTAGTGCTACCCTGGTCAGGTGAGATGGTCCTTGAGTTTCTGGAATCAAGGTTAGCCTATCTCTGACTCCCTGGAAACTCTGCGTGTGATCTAGATTATATCTCTGTGTACTGGGGCCACAGAGCCACTCTCAGGTTTGGTGAATCCCTTGAGTCATAGACCACAGCCAAGTCTCTTCACTGCTCCATAGGAAGTAGGTATCAAGAAGGATCCTGAAACTACTAAGTCTGAAAGTCCTTTTAAATTTATTTATTTTAATGGTTCCAATCCTGTCTCTGTCTCAGAATTATCTGAGGAGAGATTTAAAATTATGCATGTGAAAACCCTACATCAGCTGTATTGCTAGAGAATCTCCAGGGGTACAGACAATGAATCTATCTTTTGGCAAGTTCTACGGGTGCTTCTAGCATAGCCAGACTGGTACCAGGAGAACTGGCCTTTGAGAGCCACCCATGTATTTCACCTCCCACTCAGTGTATAGTGTTCTCCCAACAGCTGTTCAGCACTTTGTAGAGTGATTTCAGAAACAATGGAAGAAAAAGACGCTCGCAAATTGAGAGGATCATGCAATCTCATGTTCTCTTTGCTAAATAAGCCTTCCCCTACCCCTTCCACGATTAGGTTGCCAGTAACAGAAGTTTACTAACTTTCAGTTCTCTATATAATTGAGGTTGTCTGAGGTCAGAGAGATACAGTTGTGCAAGGTCATTGCTAAGCTTCAACCATTAGTGTGTTGATTACAAGTATAACAAACGGCCATTAGGATAAGAAGTAAATAGTGATTTGGGGGCATTTGAATATGAATAAATAGGTGGTAGTGGGTTTGCTCCTTCTTTTCCTTAGCCTCCTACTGATGTTTTTGTCTAGTATGTGTACCAGGCTCCTTTAAAAGGCACCAATAATAGACTTTGAATATTTAAAATGCACATAAAAAATGAAATTATTTTAACAGATTTACTCAAATTGTATGCAAATGTAATGCATATTTAATGCAAATATACATGTGGTTCTCTTAACTATTTCTTATGCTTCACTGTGCCCCTTAGTAAAATGCTAATGGCTCATCTGTGCCTCTTTATTCTGTTCAGCAATTAATTGTTAATATGACTTGTGGGTATCACAGTATGGCTAGGATAAAATAAAACAAAGAAAAGGTCTCAGACCTTGAGAATACTATGATCTAGTTAGAGAAAGAATATATACCTCCAAACCACTCAAATGTTCAGATTCCTGAATTACCTGTTTTACCCTTAACCCAAGCTCTCTTCTGCTCCCTAAATGATCTTACTAAAACTCATAGGTGACCCATACTTACAATGCTCCAATGGCTTTCCAAATAATACCCCAACTCCTTTGCATAGAATCTATGCCATCCATAATCTCTTCCCTGACTAACTAGCTCTTTGGTTTTTTGTTTTTAACTTGCATTCTGTTCTCAAGCTGTAAGCAAAGATTTGCAATCCTTTTTTGCACTAACAAGCCTGTACTCTGGCTAATTCTTCTACCTGTAATGGCTTTCTCTATACTTCTCAACTTCCTCTTTTTTTTTTTTTTTTTTTTTTTGAGACAGGGTCTAGCTCTGTCACCCAGGCTGGAGTGCAGTGGCACAATCTCAGTTCACTGCAGCCTCTGCCTCTCAGGTTCAAGCAATTCTCCTGCCTCAGCCTCCTGAGTAGCTAGGATTACCAGCACCCACCACCACACCTGGCTAATTTTTGTATTTTTAGTAGAGACGGGGTTTTGCCATGTTGGCCAGGCTGGTCTCGAACTCCTGACCTCAGGTGATCCACCCACCTTGGCCTCCCAAAGTGCTGGGATTACAGGCATGAGCCACCACGCCTGGCTTCTACCTTCCTCTTACCTACTAGGTGGACTTCTATCCATTCTTCAGGAGTCAGGTAAAATGATCACCCTTTCAATATCTAGCCACATTAATTCCCCAAACTAAGATAGTGATATGGACAGGAGACAGGGAAATACTGGGTAGAAGAGGGCAATTCCCCAGCAAAGACCCCACCTTCAAGCCTGGAAACCTGCAGCCCTAAGTGGGAATAGGCATTCCGGTTTTTGTGCCCAAAAGTTGCCTTTTGGCCCACCACATCCCATTATCTTGTCCCCATATAAACCCCAAATCCCAGACTCCAAGAGCAAACAAGCAGATGATCAGACAAACAGAAGAGCTCCAAACTGTTCCAACCTCTGCTGTCATCCAGTTCCAAAGTTGCTTACACATTTTTGGGTATTTTTACAGTAGCACCCCACTCCCAGTAACAATTTACTGTATTAGTCCACTTTCACACTGCTAATAAAGACATACCCGAGACTGGGCAATTTACAAAAGAAAGAGCTTTAATGGACTTACAGTTCCCCTTGGCTGGGGAAGCCTCACAATCATGGTGGAAGGCAAGAAGGAGCAAGTTACGTCTTACATGGATGGCAGCAGGCAAAGAGAAAGGTCTTGTGCAGGGCACCTCCCCCTTATAAAACCATCACATCTCATGAGACTTATTCACTATCACAAGAACAGCATGGGAAAGATTTGCCCCCATGGTTTGATTACTTCCCACCAGGTCTCTCCCACAACAAATGGGAATTCAAGATGTGATTTGGGTGGGGACACAGCCAAACCATATCACAGTCCCTGGAGTGGAACTCAAAATAACACCAATGTCATCACCATATCACCACTACCAGCACCACCACCACCAATATCATCATTCCTGAAGATCTTTGCATCAGAGAGTCAGTGTTAGTGATGGAATTGTGTTCTATCCCTTGAGTGAATTGGGGGCTGAGATAGGGCATTCCTAGAACATACCAGACAGTCTGGCATATATTAGGCATGAGTGGGTATTTGGTGGATGAATGAATGAATGGGAGTGAATAAAATACAAAGAAACTAAAGCTCCGTGTGTAAAATAGTTTTTTTTTTTCCCCTAGGCTGCTGGGGTCAGACTGCTGGGAGGATTCGTTACAGCAGAAGGATCACGGTGGCATAAGACTATTAAGGAAAATTTTCTCAGAATTGGTGAGATTCTGAGCTGGATCTTACCAAAAATATAGAATAGGCAGAGAAAATTAAAGAAAGCATTTCAGGCTAAATATACACATGGAGATGGTGTTTGAATTGCAATAGTCCAGGCTGACTGTCACAGGGACTACCACAGAATCAAGGAAAACTATGAGTATCTTGGCTTCTGGGTTGACCCAATATTTACCATCCGGGGAGAAGGAACTACACTGAATCTGTTATACAGCGGGAGTTATGCCTCCATTCATCAAAACTGACAAACCATCAAATATCCCAAGGTTCTGAAAAGCACTGTTTGAATTCTACATAGTAGACTCCCTTTACCAGTAACCGGGCACATTATAATTGTTAACAGACAAAAACAGCAAAGCTGTATAACAAGAAAGAGTAGATATTGAACATTGTCTAACAAATCAAATTCATAAGAAAACACAGAAAGCTGAAATACAGTTTCCCAAGGGGAATTGGTAATCACCTAACAGTTCAAAGTCAAACATTACAAATATTATGGAATCTTATATGGTCACAAATGATTACCTTGATTTTATATTTTATTTGAAGGAAATGATCTTGAATTATCCTTCAATGCTGTATCTAAGCCCTGGTTCAGAAACAATTCATGAAAAAATCATTGTTTATTAAATTACTTTAACATTTAATAGAAAAATAATTGTTTTTGTTAAAATGATTGCATTCTAAAGTACGAATATCAAACAAGATGAAAATTAAAATACAATTGTTAACAGGAATTATGCTTTAATTTGTTTGTATCATTGCTTCGCAGCACTTATCAAGCATAGTGTGAATGTTTGCTGAATAAATGAATAAATTGGTTGTAAGAGGACCACTGGGATTCCAAAAGACCAATGGAGAAACTTAAAGCTTAATATTGACTGACCTATTAACCATCAGTTCGAGTATAAAAATATATGAAATAAACCCAAGCAGAAAATAGAGTCTCTTCAAATGCAAATTACCTACAATTACAAAGAATATTGACTGACCTGTTAGCCAATAGTCCAAATATTTAAAAATTGAAATAAACGTATGTATAAAATATGAAGTCTCTTTAAGTTCAATTATCTATCGTTATAAAGAATAAATCAAACAGTTTAGAATGAACACAAATACAAAAAGGGAAATTTTTCCTGTAATTCAAACATTGATAAATTTCAAGATCATGATATTTCAAATAAAGACAGGCTACATTTGGGATTTTTCTACTTTATTCATCAGAGAGACCTGCAAACTGCCCATGACAAACATCCACTGCATATCCATTTCCATCTTGCAATTTAGACCAAGTCTTTGTAGAAAATGAAAGCAACATAAAATATTCAGAGAATATCCATATCCCTTTAGGCTCAGGATGAGTTGAGCATCTCTGAAAATATTATGCAAATACAAGAATGTTTTCCATTCAGCTGGGGCTTTCAACACCTGGAGATCTTGGAGAAAGTTAATGGATGAATAGTTGAATCAGATTTATTTTCACTATGTGCCAAGTGAGGGTATAATTTTACCAAAGACATTTTCTCCTGTCCCTCCCCATTGGCTGCTCAGCTGTTCCATTTTATTATAAAATTATACTACTAGGAATGTTTACATTATTATGGACATTATATTAGACCTCCACTGAAGAGCACTTTGGGCTGACATACAGCTAATTCATTAACTTCAGTTGTCTCCACAATCAATTCTGGTCACTACAGCCCAATCCATCACTTTATGAAATGTATTGATTGGTAAGATTAGGTAGATATCATTCATTTTTGTAAAAATAGGGGCAGCCACAGGCTCCCTATTGGTCTATGCAAACTATAAATATGACAATCTCCCCAGAGGAAGTGTTTTCTGGATTTATTTTACCAGACTGTCAGTGGGGCTCACTAAGCTATACAATAACCTCATTCTGCCAGCTAACCATGATCTTGCAGAGGATATTTAAATCTCTTTTAAAGGCAAATTAAAATGTTTCCCATCTTATTGCCTCTTCGGTGCAAGAAAATAAGTACCAGTGCTCTCTGCCACTAAGTGAGCTAGTGATTTGTTTTTCTTATATCCTTTATCAATGGGAGCAAGGGGAAGAAAATCACAACACTGAGTGTCCCAAATTTAGCAGTATACTCCATCTTCTGTGGTTGTTTACAGTGTACCCATGGTTGCAATACAGTTAGGAGGCCTGTAAGAACTAATTAGTAGATTTCTGAACTGGGGCATAACTGTACAAAATTAGATTCCCAAATATGAAGAATTGCAGATTGTTTTGTATTATGCCAGGAAGAACTGTTTTATGATAGTGGTGGCATATGCCTTTATTAGTCCCTTATGTAAAACTGTTCTTAAATCAGAATTAATATCAGTTCCCAAATTACCTCTATCAGGAGTATCTTTTTTTATGAGATCCATAAGTATATCGCTTCACTGTGAGAAACTTCACCTGACTTCATTAGCATTTAACAGCTTTCCTTATCCACTTCCCTTATACAGTTAAAATACACTAATCTAATGCTCTTCTTAAAAGGCAAATAATAATCAAGTACTTTTCTCTGCCCTAAATAAAATTCCTTCTAGGGAGACAAATTTATTACAAATTACAATTACTTTATCATGTTGTTTTAGTTTTTTTTTAAAAAAATGACTTACCCTAAATTGCGTTTAGTAAAGACTACTTAATACAATTAATCATTTGTCGCCAAGAATTATTTACTTAAAACTAAATTTGCTGAAAAGCATCACATCATTTTTTACTTGTGCCACAGAAGGTAATTGTGTAATTAGTAACTGGTTTACAGAGGCATGTTTTTCACAGAATGCTGATAACCCAAGTCTAAATTGCCCTTTCCATCCAGGATCCCAAGGCACTTTATAAATCATCGTATTTAAGTCGCTATTCACACCTGCTCACGCCTACACGTAAACTGCAAATGGGGTATCTTTAAATAAGCCATTTAATACTAGGATAACTACTGCAAAGAATTCTCTACTGGAGTGAAATGCAGCAGCTTTAACAGATGCTCAAGAACAATAGATACTAGTTGAGGTAAAGAAATAAAGAATGTCATTTCCAATTAAAACTACAGGAAAGATTTAGTAGAAAAGAATGTAATTATTCATTTGGACTTTGGCCAGGATACCACAGCTAATACTCTTTGCATTGGGGAAACTTTCTAAAGCTTTAAGAACTTATTAGAATTCCACATTAGAATTGCACTTTAATATCTCAGCTAAAGCAGAGTTTTCAGAGAATAAAAGATAAATAGAAATGGTCCTCATCACCCCATCAATTCTAATTATGATGTAATCCATGTCTCAATAAAAAAACACTCACATGCTTCCAGAGGTTAAAAATGGGAGGAATGAGAAAGACTAGACTATTAGTGGTGAATTAGAAGATGGAACAAGAAAAGGTGCCCAGAATTAATGGATTGACCCACAGGATGGAGGTTACAAGGAAATGGTCAAACTTGAATGAAACTAGCCAAATATCCTTTTGTTTTTGAGTCCTGCATTTCATCCCTCATTTCGAGCATTATTGTAAAGATAGTTTGCTAACAATTTCACTACTAAAATAATAATGGCATACCTGAAAAGGACCTTAGGAATTACTCCTGGCTTACTGAAGAGGAAACTAAGGCTGAGAGAATGGAGGCAAGTGCCCAAGGTAACACAGTTGTAGATAATTTTATGTTGTACTCAGACATTGCTATTTGGAAAATTACAAGATATGACCAAGGTCCTTGCATACTTCAGATGATTCTAACCTTTGTCAAATGTCCACAATTGTTTAGCCCTGTGGAGGCACAAGCCAAGGAAATTCATGTGCATGTGTTTATGTGGTTTAAGAATTGTTACCTTTCTGCCTTATTATTTGTAGAATCAAAAACCATTCTCATACCCTCAACTAGCAGATTGTGGGGAGAACATGAAAGTGCAAAGTGACATGGGGAATAAATTGGAGAGAAACATTCATAATAACTATGATTAGAAGAATTGAGCACAGTCTGTAGGAAAATGCATGCCTGCCAAATCCAATTCCACTTTTACTTCCACCTCCCCTTCTACCTCCCTGACTATAACACCCAAGGTCCTTAAACACTGACTTGGAATTAAAATGGATTGTTTGCAGCTGCTCACATGCAGGCTTATTCTGCAGGTCCCGCCTAGTGTTTACATCTGGCTTCCCTTCCCAGCCTCAGTTCTTGCCAGGGAAGGCCATTTGAGAAACAACAGGACTGCAAACTGAACAGAATGCATTTTATGAGTCAGCTTGATCCTTATCCATGGACTGAGAGTTCTTAGCGTTAAGCCATTAGCCCCATTGCCTGGTTTTAAAAGGAACTCACTATTTTTGCTTATCCCTGTGACAGTAGTAACTGCAGGATTCAGGCCTTTGTGCTTCTTTGATTTAGTTTCTGTCAAGTTCTCTTTTTTTTCTGTCCATCTTCTATAAACTCTGTGATGGTTGAGTAGAATTTTAGAGCTGAATATAGATAAAGTACTGTATTACATCTGATTGTAGAAGCTACTAGTACTTTTCAAAATCCTGTTTTTAAGCACACGGGAATGCACTTGCATGTGGCCAAGTGTGGCCAATGAGAGAGTCAATGAGACTAGGTCGGAATATAGCAAGCACAAGGGCATTGAGGTGCCTCAGCAGAGGCTGACCTAAACCGGGAAAAAGTGCATGTCTAAATGTGAAGGAGGCTCCACTTCTCCTAAGAATAAGACCCCTATCAGCCTAACTGACACTTTGCTTAGTACTATTCTACCAGCAGGTGAGAGCATAGTTAATATATCTCTGGTTGAAAGTTAAAAATCACTTTGCCTCCAGCTGGACAAAAACAAGCATTAGTTAAATAAATTTTATGCCTAGTTTTACAGATGCTTACTGCAAAATGAGATGTGCACAAGAATACTGACATTGTTACAAATACAGGGAGCATAATAAATGCTCTGCTTATAAAATTTCATTCTAGAATTGGCTCGACGCTTCCCTAAACTTGCTCCATTAAACAGGAGAAAAATATGCCAAGGTTTTTTTTTTTTTTTCTAGTTCTAAATTGTGGAGCTAATAGCCACATATTTGCATACTAATAAAGTCCTTTTTATTTGATAACTGTTACTGTGCTTATTCTTTCAAGAATGGCAATCAATCTCTTTTGGGATCAACTACAGTACTTGGTAGAGCTGGACAAACAGCAGTGTTTTGTTTCTCCCCTTCTGAGTTTGCAGGTCTTACTTGCCATTCATTCTTTCACTGAATGGGATTCTAATTTTAATGGCTTAATCAGGCTGTACTCTAACCTAATCATGTTGTTTCAGGGATTTACAGAATTTCCCAGCAAGATCTGAGCCCGTAGATGTAAGAAAATACATCGTGGATTCTCCAACATTAGGATTTTTGCGTTTTTCAAAGAGAGGCAATCACATTAAGGTAAAATCAGTGAAAAGTCCATCGCTTAATCTGTGAGTAATAACCAACATATGTTATAGGAAAGCACAGTACTAGGCATGAAAGGGCATACCAAGAACCAAAAAACAAAATTCAGTGTCATCCTGCAGAAGTTGGGCTCCACCCACCTCTGTTTCCATGGTCTCTTGTGTGTGCTTCTTACATAGGCATATCCCTGATCACACTGCACAGTCATTGTCTTTCTTTCCTCCTGGAATCATACTTCTTGATAAGACCTTGATCTCTTTCATCTCTGTATCTGTAGAATTTACATTGTGTTTGCCACATTGCCAGGTGGGGGTGGTGGGGAGGGGTATCCTAATTAAAGTGTGTTGAGTGGATAGATGTGGGCGGAAGTTAATAGCAATGATCTCAGGACTTCCTCTAACACCAGACATTCTGTGAAGGAAGAATTATGTATAATAATGAGGCTTCCTTTCTGAAGAGGATTGTGAGGAGAATTCTCTGGTATAGGGGACATAGTGTAGAGAAAGTTCATTCAAAAGATTTACTAAGTTTAATCTATCCCCAGGCATGAGGCCAGGTGCAGGGAAATGTAGGGCTGTACAAGGTAGACTTAAATACTGCCCTTGGCATTTTACGGTCTAATAAAGAAGACAGACAATAATGGCCAAATCTGCCTCCACCAAGAAAACTCATAGGGTTACAGTAGTGGTGTGCTGGAATTTCCTCTTACCTGAAATAGCTCCTGGAAGCCATTGGTTATAAATATTCAGGTACTTTTCAGTATGGTTGTTAAACTATTAGTTGCTTGAAATTGGCCATGGTGAGAGTGAAATAAGCAAACACTACAAATCTGGGACTTTTTTTTTTTTTTTTCTTTTTTGGAGGAGAGCCAGATTACCAGCCCACCGTAGTTGCAGTAATTTGTAACTAACTCTACACCTTTTCACCTCCCTTTCTCATCTGTGTCTGCCTTTTTCCTTTAGTAGGTGATAATATAAAACTGAAGCATATTTATATGATACTTAATTTTAAAAGTTTTATATTTTAAATTTAAAAAATTCATGAACTTTTAATATTTTTATAAAATAAAGCAAAACGCTTTATTCTTTCCTTTTACATGTGCCTTACACTAACACAGATAATGAAAACTGTGTTCAGCCAGTGCATAATGCTGTGTATACATAGTATTCTGTAAATATATATTGACTTGAATCACATAGAATTGGCATAAATAAAATTGAATTGAAATGAAGGCTGGACTAATTTAGAATCTTCAATAATGCAAGATACCTTTACTTTTTGTACTGAATTAAAACTAACTTTAATACTAAAAATATAACAACTTATTGTGTAAAAAAAGTAATTTATGTTTATTGTTTATAAAGCTACGTAGGTCTGTTGTCAACTATATATTTTTTTCATAAACTGACAATATTTTGATTATCTGTGCCAATGTACATCTTTGAAACTTTACTAGCAAGCAATACAACTAGAATTCTAAATTATTTTTCAATCTAGACTTTATACTTACTTGAGGCTCACCTTGTTTTAATTTGCTGAAATTTATCTGCAATTCTTGATTTGTATGCATTACCAAGGTTTCTAATTCCTTCACATTTTGAAGTCATTTTTACTGTGTGTTATTATCTTCGGTACATGGAGGATCCTGTGAAATTTCCCACTATAGTGTGGTAGATAAGAGCAAAGACCATTGTATCTGAAAGTCTTGGTCTTGAATTATAAGAAATAGAGTTTGGTCAAATTACTCATTTATTCTAAGCTATAAATTTTTTATCAGTTAAGTGAGCATAAGGTAGTACCTACATCACAGAGATGTGTGCTGATGACATGAGACGGTGGATGTAGAGACTTTAATACAGTGGCATGCACATACGCAGATAAAGCTCTATGAGGTTAGCTACTAAAACATATGGACAAGAAAAAAAACAGAAATCTGAAGTCCAAATGCCTTCAAGATCTGCAAGGTATCTACTGGAAGAGCAAAACAATGAAATGAGATTAGTGGATGTACTATGAAAACTTAGAACTAGGAGAAAAAACAATTGATGTAGTATTTCTAAGTATAGTCCAGGGGAAAAAATAATAGTAACTGATATTTGTTGAACATCTACCATGTGCCAGATGCTTTTCTAGTGTTTTACATATACTAACTCATTTACTCTTCAAAATAACCCTCCAAAGCAGATGCTCTTGCACATATTCTCATTTAGAAATGTGAAAACTAGGCTAGACAAAAGGTCGTCTCCAACAAAGTGACAGAGCAAATATTTAAATCTTGAGCCCAGGGAATACCTTTAGAATAAAAACACATGCACACACACACTCTAGGGTTTTGAATATATATATATATGTATGTGTGTGTATATATATATATATGTATATGTGTATATATATATATGTGTATATATATGTATACCTTAGAGTATATTATTTATATATATACACACAAATACATACTTAAAAATGCACACATAAAAATACACATACACATATATATATATATGCATATACACATAGTTGATCCTTAGATCTTTAAACAATGCAGGGGTTAGGCGAATTGGCCCCCTGCCCCCCATAGTAAAAACTTTGCATATAACTTTTGTCTCCCCAGGAACTTAACGACTAATAGCCTACTGTTGATCAGAAGCCTTACTGATTACATAACAGTCAATTAACACATATTTTTTACCTTATAGGTACTATATGCTCTATTCTTACAATAAAGTAATTTAGAGAAAAGAAAATGTTATTAAGAAAATAATTAGCAAGAGAAAATTTAATTACTATTCATTAAGTGGAAGTGAATCATCATCAAGGTCTTTATTCTCTTCGTCTTCACAATGAATAGGCTGAGGAGGAGGATGAAGAGAAGGAGTTGGTCTTGCTGTCTCAGGGGTGGCAGAGGGAGAAGAAAATGCATACGTAAGTGGACTTACCACAGTTCAAATCTGTGTTGTTCAACGGGTAACTGTTCGATGGGTAACTGTTCAACAGGTAACTGTTGTATGTATATATTGTATGTATATATATATTGTATGTATATATATTAAATACAAGGTGTTTACGTACAGCCCCTATTCTAGCCTTTTTCAGAAAAATATACATTCACTTAATATTTATAATAATCCTATGATACAGGCACTATCACTATTCTTAGTTTATAAATGCAATAGCTATAACTGAGGCACAGATAGGTTAAATAACTTGTCTAAGTTCTCACAGCTAGTAAACGAGAGTTGAGCTCAAACCTAGGCAGTCTGAATCAGCCTCAGAATCCGCTAGCTACATGGCAGCTGTAAGCTTCAGTTAAAAGGAATTGTAACAGCTCAATTCCACCAGCAAGCACATATCAATTGTGGAAATAACAATGAAGTTTACTAAACAAACATCCAGAAGATTCTTTCCAGAAGTAATGATTTCACTATGTAGAAAACTATCTGTACTTGCTATAATCTAGTTATGATTTGTTTTTCCACAGTGCTCTCAATACAGAGAGATATGCTTGAGTATTTGAATTTTTGAATTCTTAGAACACAGCTATATTTCTCAAAGAAAATTAGTAAACTGGCGTTTACTGGCAGTAGAGTTCTCCCTTGGTATTCTTGAAAAATTGGTTTCAGGACAACCCTCCCCACACTAAAATCTGGGGATATTCATCCCTTATATAAAATGGTTTAGGATTTGCCTATAACCTATGTACATTCTCCATATATTTTAAATCATCTCTAGATTACTTATACATAATACAACTAAATAGTATACAAATAGCTGTTATACTGTATTGTTTTATATTTATATTTTTACTGTTGCATTGGTTTAAAAAAATTTTTTTTAATATTTTTGATCTACGGTTGGTTGAATCCATAGATGCCAAGCAGTGGATACACAGGGCTGACTGTGATACCAACTATGAGGTCTTTATGAAGCATCCAATATCCTATCTCATGTTTCATTGCTCCTCTATATCTCCATTAGCTATAAAAATGCAAATCCCTTTTCTTATTTGTATTGTTACTGCTAAGAGAAGATTTAAAGAGAAAGTTTAATAAAGATTTTTTTTTAAAGCTAACCTTCAGCTTGTTAGGTTTCATTAATTCTTGGTGGATAAAACATTGGTCAGAACATGTTTCTTGGATGGTTGACTGCTTTTAATTGTGTACATTATCTCTGTGTCTAGGCATAGAGGCTTAATTTTTCTAGTTCTAAGGATTTGTTTTGAAGCAAAACAACCTTTCACTAAACTCTAGAATAATCCTCTCTCTGAAGTCTGCTCTCCATCTGTGTCCCCCAGTTTAAAACTCTCCCCCTCCATCTGCTAAATTCAATAATGACTTTAGCACCAAGCAGCAGGTAGAACCAATATGCTGGCTCAAAATGGAATCCTGAAAATGAATCTCGCATCCCTGCTGCAGAATCATCTGTGTTTGCTATTCTGCCCCCATTAATCTCCAGGGAATAAGAGTGAGAAACATGTCAAGGGATAAAGCAGGGAGGGAGGATTTTTATAATTAATTGAAAACAATAATAGTATAAAAGTCATCAGCCCTTTGCCTGCATAAGGCCAGCTTTGCAAAACAACAACAACAAAAATGAAGATGCCACAGCTACAGCTCTCTTCCAAACACAAGCTAGATGGGAGGGTGTGTAAATGCACTCATACACACCCACTCTTAAGACACATCTTTCAAAATTTTAACAGAAACTTATCTTAAAGGACAAAAATCCCACCTGCCAGATTACTGATTATAATGTATGAAAGTACAGGGTGCAATCATAAGTACATAGAAATAGAAAGTCAAGAAATCATTAAATTGTTGTAGTAAAGAATTTTCATGTTTCTATCAAAAATAATTTCTCTTAGAATGACAATTTGAAACACCATCTTTTATTCCTAAAATACCTGGATCATTCATTAATTAAAAACTCAGAATGTGTCAGCACATTCACACTGTCTCTTCCAACTGTTTGACTTTTTAAAGACATAAACTGTTCTTCTAGTCTTGTAGTTGAATTTTTAAAAATTGCTTCTGAACACCCTCAGGGGCACACATAAAACATGTATATTCTCTTCCCTCCTTTTTGAATGTAGCACATTTTCACATACCATGTATGTTTTCAAAAAGAACCTTTTTGATACAAGTTCTTCAAGTGAAAGATGGGTAGATTGAAAACAAAACAGGAAATAACCTGTGGAGAAAGGGAAATTCTTCTGCTCTTTCTTATATAATTTTTCTTCAATTTAGTCATTATTCAGAAAATCACAGGATTAAGTACTATTCACTGGTCACTCAAATTTTAGAAGGCTTTTTTTGCAATTTTTTGCCATTTTCTGCCTCATAACGCTGGTACCCCCTGCCAACTTTATACATCACTCCCACTTACCATCTCATTCATTTACATTTTTTCCTCCTCATTCACCATCCTCCTGCAGGTAGGCAATGACTTGAGTTGCCCTGGACTCATTTTAAGCTAACTTATTTCATTTATTTTCCTGCAAATGTATTCAGCTTCTTCCCCTTTCTTACTTCCAACCTCTATTTCTATAATATTAACATGTTTTTTCATGTCCATCCATTTTATTCCTCTTATCACATCTCTTCCATTCTTTTTTTTTAAATGCCACTAATGGCACTTCTTTATATACTAGTAGGTAATAGTATACTTTAGATTTACTTGTGAATTACATTTAAACCATTGTCTACAGAAAAAGTATAAATATTTAATATATGTTATTTGACTTATAAACTTCAAGAATGAAAGGGATAGAACCAGCATAATTAGTTCATATGACAGAAAGCACAATATCCATATTTTTAAAATCATGTCATTTGCAGCAACATGGATGGAGCCGGAGGCCATAATCCTAAGCAAGTTAATACAGGAAAAGAAAACCAAATACCATATGATCTCACTTATCAGTGGGAGCTAAGCACTGAGCACACATGGACATGAATATGAGAACAATAGACACTGCAGACTATGAGAGTGAAGAGAGGGGAGGTGGGTTAAAAACTACCTATTGGGTACTATGCTTACTACCAGAGTGATGGGATTCATACTCCAAACTTCAGCATCATGCAATATTCCCAAGTAACAAAGCTGCACATGTTCCCCCTGTATCTACAAAGAAGTTGAAAATTAAAAAAAATAATAAAAGTAAAAGTAACTAAGCATGGACAAAGAAAAATGGAGTGTGGAGACAGTGGACGATGTTGACTCAATGAAGACTGGGACTCTGCTCCCCCAAATCTCTGCCTTTCACTTTTCTTTTTTTTTTTTTTTTAACCTCCTTAATTTTTTCTTTCCTTTCTTTTTCTGTTGTGTGTATAATTCTTTTCTTTCTTTAACCTCTGCCCTTGTGTTTCTAACTTACTTCTACACTCTCTCTTCTTATTCATCTTCATTTCTGTTTCAGTAAAGTGCAGGGTGTAGTTGCCATGCCATTTGGTGGCAGAGCAATGGCATTTAAAAATATGGCTTTCTTTTATACAACCATGCTTGAATCTCTTCTTTTTAAAAATTAAATAACTAAATTTATAATCTTTTTGGTAAATAGTTTAGAGTACAGTATTGCAAAGTAATAATTAAGAAGATGCACATGTGCTTGTCAGTAAATACATTTTAAACACTGCTTATATTATTAACATTCACAACTCCCATCTGATAAGCTTATCCTCAGCCCTGATTTTACATTTGATAACTTTAGTGATTGGAAAAGCAGAAGAATAAAAGGAGAGAAAAATATAAAGTAGATAAGGTTAGTAGATCTTTCCAGGATTGCTTTCTGCTATATGAATTACTTCCATACTAAACTGCATTTGGGATTTTCCTTTTCCTTTTTTCAGTCTAGATATGGTATACACATTTACTCCAAAGAGTAAAAGTTCCGAAAACAGAGAAGCCTAAGGAAAAATTCCTACTCTGCCACTTAATAGCTCCACTACTTTGGGCAAGAAATTATAGCAACTATACTTTAGTTTCTTTATCTATATTTAGGACTAATCACATATATTTCAATGGTTGCAAGGATGACTAAACCAGGAAAACACAAATTAAATCTCTGACATTTATAATTGCCCACTTAATATTAGTTCTTGTTTCTATTTGAAGGTGGTTCATTACCCTGTATGTTGCAATAATATTTTTATGTTAGTCACAGTAAGCACATAGCTACATTTTAACAGTCAGATATATTATTACATCATGTGGTTACAGCCCACAAATGGAAAGAAAGTTGTCAACTTCAAAAAAATTTCCTCCAATTACCCCACTTTCCGTAGAGAGTCTAATGTAATTTGCATACAATGACTGAAGTTATTGCTGGGGTTCCACTTTGCCAATTTCTAGCAGCAAGCCTAGAAATTGTATTTTAACTGCTTTCTACAAAGGTTAATGTTGTATATTACAGAAATGTAGAAAAACAATTGTACCTGTATTTCTGATGTGATATACTATTTTTCTAAAGCTATTTTGTCTTTGTTCATTCAATTGACAAACTTGATCTAATTGACATATAGAACACTGTACTAAACAATCCTAAAATATACATTATTTTCATGTGTATAAAGAATATTAACCACAACTGGCCATATCCTGGACTATAAATCAAATGGGCTACAAAAATCAAATTATTGAAATCATGCAGAGTATTGCCTCTGATAATAAATTAAGTTAGAAATTATCAATATGATAACTAGAAAATCTCCACATATTGGGATGTTAATCAATGCATTTCTAGATAACACATGAATCAAAAAAATGCAATGCAATTTAGAGAATATTTCAAAGCAAATAACAGTGAAAGTATGACATATCCAAACTTGTTAAATACAGCAAAAGACTGCTTAGAGAGAAATGTATAAAGTTAATCCCCGTCATTAGAAACAGAAAAGCCAAATACTAGTGATCTACCCATCCATCTCAAAATGACATTTAAAGAGAATAGCAATGTAAACTTAAAAAAGAAAAAAAGAAACAAAATTTTTTAAAAATAAAAAACAGGCTGGGCGTGGTGGCTCATGCCTGTAATCCCAGCACTTTGGGAGGCCGAGGCGGGCAGATCACCTGAGGTCAGGAGTTCAAGACCAGCCTAGCCAGCATGGTGAAACCCCGTCTCTACTAAAAATACACACAAAATAATTAGCCGAGCATGGTTGCGCATGCCTGTAATCCCAGCTATTCAGGAGGCTGAAGCAGGATAATTGCTTGAACCCGGGAGGCAGAGGTTGCAGTGAGCTGAGATCATGCCACTGCACTCCAGCCTGGGTGACAGAGCAAGATTCCACCTCAAAAAACAAAAAACAAAACAAAACAAAACAAGCCAGTATATTTTAAAATACTATTTTTTATATATATGTATGTGTGTGTGTATATATGTGTATATATGTATGTATACACACACATACACACACACATATATACATATGTGTATATACACGCACATATACATATATGTATATATACACATACATATGTATATACACACATATGCATATATGTATATATACACATACACATATATGTATATGCACACATATACGCATATATGTATATATACACATATACGCATATACACATATATGCATATATACACATATACGCATATACACATATATGTATATATACACACATATGCGCACATACGCATATATGTATATATGCGCATATACGCATATACACATATGTATATATACACATATACACATATACACATATACACACATATATACACATATATACACACACACAAAGAAGTTATTTCAAAGAAATAACTTCTGTCTTCGTTGGACCCCTTTATCATATATATATACGTGTATATATATACAAGTATATATATACATGTATATATGTGTATATGTGTGTGTATATACGTGTATATATATGTATATATACATGTGTGTGTATATATATGTGTATATATACATATATATGTGTGTGTATATATATATATATGATAAAGGGGTCCAACGAAGCCAGAAGTTATTTCTTTGAAAAGACTAATGCTATTTATATATCCTTAGCAAAGCTATTCCAGGAGAAAAGGAATGCAAACGTAACCAATGGCAAATGTTAAAGGTAATATCACTAAGGATAACACAGACTTTAAAAACACAATATAAACATATTACAAACAACTTTATTCCAACAATTTGGTTTTACATGACCAAAATGTAAAATTACTATGAAAACATAACATCAAAAATTATACAAGAGGGCATATGTACTGCCCAAATCTTGGTTTCTAATTCCAATTCTTTAATAAAATAAACCAAGATTCCTTGGAGAAATAGCTGATTTTAGGACTGGCGCAGAAAATATACAGAATGAACTTAAAACATGTGGTGCTAGAAATTAAGAAAGTATTCAGAACACAAACAAATAAATAATAACAAAAAAACCTCACAATAATGTTTGTATGTTAAAGGGGTAAAGTAGCCAAATGAAAGAGCTCCCAGTCGTCCAACTGGCACAATTTGAAAAACAGTGACAAAAAGTATTATAATCCTCTAATTATAAATATGTAAAATAAATATCTATGAATACATACTGATTTAAATAAATAATTGAATAAATAAATGGGAGAAAATAGACACATTTCCTGTGCAAAAGAATTTCAATATATATAAATACCCTAAGCTTAAGGAATATAATTCCATGCTTTTTAATTATGGGCTACACATAATGACTTTTTTCAAAACGTACTGTTTGCAAAGAGAGGAGATAAAAGAGTAACTTTGCCATGAGGAGAAATGAGAAACACTGGCTCACCTCAGGTGATGAAAGTGAACATCGACAGTAATGAGTCATATTTATAGTGGGTATCTTTTTTTTTCTTCAGCAAGCGCTTTATTTATCAGAAGGGCATTACGCTTGACCTCCAAATTTGGCTGACAATTTACTGAGGAGATTCATAACCTTTGGGTTGCTCTGGTATTTTGACATATTCGCTGGGTTCTGAGGCACATCCTGGAAGGCCACCATAACTTCTGGATCCTGCATGGCTGCAAGAACCTCTGGATCACTAAGAATTTCATATAGTGGGTATCTTTCATGTGATGTAATGAGAATGGCACTTTACTTCTGTTGTCTTCCTCTCATTAACACACATTAAAACACATTACCCCAGTCTAGTCATGGGGAAAACATCAGGCAAATCTCAGCTCAGGAATATTCTACAAAATACCTAGCCCTCAAAACTGTCAAAGTCATCCAAGCAAGGAAAGTCTGAGAGACTGTCACATGACATTCAGGAGACATGATCATTAAATGTCATGTGATAATCTGGATGGAATCCTGAAACAGAAAAAGGATATTAGGAAAAAGCTGAGGAAATCTGAATAAAATACGGATTTTGGTTAATAATAAAAACATACAAACAAACAAAAACCACTTTCCTGCAGAAAAGGAAAGTGGAAAAAAGATAACTGTAGAAAACAATGATAGAATAATAAAGTAAATCATTGAATAAGAAATCAAAATCAAATATGCTTGTTTTGTGGAAGAACATAAAGCATCTCTAGCCTCATATCTCCTTATTATGGAGAAAATCTCAGCTATGAATAGTCTTGCACAGGAAACACGTGGGGAGAATGTTAGAAAAGTTAAACACATTTTGTTGCTCTGGAGAAATATTAAATATCACATCTAGAGGGGAAAAATTGCTCTGTAAAACAGAATACAGACCTTTATCCTGTATTCTGTATGGACTATGAACATTCCTTTCTTTCATTTCTGGACCGTTATAGAGATTAAGAAAGTAAAATGTTAAAAAAATGCACAAAAAAATGGAAAACTGAATATTCCTATCCATTTGAGGTATAGATACTAAAAACTTTGCATACACTTATATTTTATTCTATACAGAAACAAACAAAAAACTTTCATGCAAAGAAGCTCTAGACCCCAATGCTTTCATTTACATGAAATTAAAAAATAATTCCAATTTGTTGGGAAAAGATGGCACAGCTCAGACACATTGTTCCCTATACAAATACATATATAAAGTTGTGTATAAAAGTTTACATATAGTTATTATATATAAAATTTCTCATATATGTATACACATAAAACTAGCAGAGATAATATCTGACAGGGCTATTTCAAGAAAGAAAAATTATAGGTCAATTTCTCTCATGAACATAGACGCAAATAAAAAACAGCAACAGAATCCAGCAACATATAAAAATTATATCACAACTAAAATGCATCATTATGGTGATGTGACATTGATTTAACATTTGAGAACTGATTATTATAATTCTCCATATTAATAATAGGAGAAAAAGCCCATAATCATGTCAATAGAAAGAAAAAAGCATGTGATAAAATTCTACCTCATTCATGATTAAAAAAATATATATATACACCTATATAAACAACATTTCCCAAACTGGAGAATAAAGGGAAGTTACATAAGATATACTTATCATAAAGTATATCTTTAAAAAATCAGAAAGATTATCTTACTTTATAGTGAAATATTGACCACTTTATCCCAAGTATGGGAATAAAAAAAGATACTGGCTATCACCATTTCTATTAAATATTGCAACAAATGTCCTAGCCAGGACCCAAAAATAATAAACTTAAAATTTTTTGAATTTATAATTTTATGATTATATAATACTTGTAAATATTTATGGGGTACAGTTGATACTTTTATATCAGCATACAATATGTAATGATCAAATCTGTGTAATTGAGATATTCATCACCTTGAAAATTTATTATTTCTTTGTGTTTGTAACATACCAAATCTACCCTTCAGTTATTTTGAAATATACAATAAATTATTGCTAACAATAGTCACCCTATCGTGCTACCAAACTTTAAAAAAAAAAAAAAACTACAAAGGAAAAAATAAAAGCGTCATGATTTTCAAACAACGTAGTTCTGAATAAAGAAAATCCAAAAGCATATAAAATAAATATTACTTTGTACATGAATTTAATAAGGTCACTGTGTACAAAGTCAACACATACATGTGCACACACATACATAAACACAACACAAAAATACAATATTAAAAAATAAACGGAAAATAAATTACTCTTTAAAAAACAAAATTTTTAAAAAGTACAATATGAAATATCAAGAAATACCTCTACAAAATATATGCAACACTTCTTATAGAAAGCCCTACAACATTATTGAGAGAAACTAAACATACCCAAGTAGAGAAATAAACCTTGTTTATAGATTGGAACATCTAATATTGTAATAATGTAAATGTTCCCAAAATTGATCCATATGTCCAATGTCTAATTGTAGTAAAAATTGTAGCAGGTGTATGTGTGTATATTTTTGTATGCTTGTGTAAACTGAGAAGCTGTTTTAAAATTTCACGTAGAAATGAAAAGGCCCCAAAATAGCGAGGGCCTCTACTATCTTGAAGAAAGACATTCAAAGAACTTGTGCAATCATATATAAAGACTTATAAAGATACAGTAACTTAGATTTGGAATCGCTCAAGGAAAGATAATAGACCAGAAGAACAAAATAGATAATCCAGAAATAGACCCACTCACAAATGAAGAAAAGATCAGCTTTTCAATAAAGGGTATTGGGTCAATTGGATATCCATAAGCAAAAAGAAATGAATATTGGCTTTTACATCATATATAGAAAATTAGTTTCTATTAAGTTATAGATTAAAAGATAAAAGTAATACAATAACACTTGTAAAAATTAATATAGGAAAATATATTCTTGGCCTTGGAGTAGGAAAGCATTTATCAAACAGAACCACTAAAAAGATTAATCATGAAGAATAAGGCTGAAAACTGGACTTCTCTTCATCAAAAGCCATCATTAAGAAAATAAAAATACAAGCTACAGAGTGAGAGAATTTATGTAACTGACAAAGGACGCTACCCAGTTGCTATGGCTGTGTAACAGATTATTTCATTATCGAATCGCAAAAAAAAAAAACCCACAACTGTTTTAATATACTCTTGCATCTGGTTGGTCAGAAATTTAGAAATGACATAGTGGGGATGTCTTGATCTCCAGTGTCTGGGACCTCAGCTGAGAAGACTCAAAGGCAGATAGTGACTAGATATCTGGGGGCTACAATCATCTGGAGATCTGCTCACTCTGGTGCCTGGACTAGCAGGTAATGCCTAACTGCTGAACATGCTTACAGATGTCCTCTACAACATGCTCAGGGTAGATCTTCTAGGTAGGGTGTGGTGGCTTACACCTGTAATCCCAGCACTTCGGCAGGCCAAAGCAGGCAGATCACTTGAAGTCAGGAGTTCGTGACCAGCCTGGCTAACAGTGTGAAACCCCATCTCCACTAAAAATACAAAAATTAGCAGGGCATGATGGAGCATGCCTGTAATCCCAGCTACTTGGGAGGCTGAGGTACAAGAATCACTTGAACCCAGAAGGTGGAGGTTGCTGTGACCTGAGATCACGCCACTGCACTCCAGTCTGGGCAACAGAGAGAGACTCTGTCTCAAAATAAAACAAAACAAAACAGGGTGGAACTTCTTACATGGTGGCTCAGGGCTTCAGCACAAATATTCCAGCAAACAAAGTGGAGGCTATACCGTCATTTATAACTTACCCTCAGAAATCACATAGTATTGCTTTTGCCATGCTGTATCGGTCACAGCAATTACAAGCTCTCCCATAATCAAGGGAGAAGACAAAGACCTCACCTCAAGATAAAAGGAATATCAATAAATTGTGTGGTTATTTCTTTAACCACCACAGACATATACAGAATCTATATAAAGCTTTATATCATTTTGACAAAGACAGAATTCAATAGAAAGAAAATAGTCCCAAGTCTTGAAATTATGGAAGTAGGTTAGTGTTACACTTTGTATGAACTCTATTAACCTACTTCTATATTCAGAGATTATGATGTTGGACAATAAATAATTTTAAAAAGTGCTAGAGGAGATTGCTAAGTGAGCTGGTTCTTAGGATAGAATTTGAAGAAGCAGAAAAGGGCAATAAATTAATGTCTAGCCTTTCCTCCCAGTTAAGAAGAAGCTTTCTCAAGTATGACCTATGTTTGGGGGTTCAGGTTGAGCCAGTGTTAATAACAACAGAGACATTTACTAGGTCATCTACTCAGCCCTCCTGATTCCTTGATTCTGGAAAACGTTCTATTTTCTGGGTAATGTCTCATAATATATTGTTAGAGCAGGAGCAGTCATGTTCATATAACATGATTCTCTGCTACTCTAAATGATAGATTAAAATGGGCCCAGTACTTAATCTGGAACAATCATCCCTTCCTCTAATTGGACCAACTGGATATTTTGAAATGGGCTTAGATGTCATCTTTTTCTTTGTCTGGTTGACCAGACTGGGAATCAGAAATTCACAAGCTATTGTCAACCATGTTTTTCACTCTGTAGACTCAGAAGTAGATACTCAGCCTGCAGGGATGAAGAATACTGAAGTAAGATGCACATAATGGAGCTAAAGTGAAAAACATGGAAAGAAAATGGAGTGCCATCACATTTCTGGATTCACCTTTTCCTTCAGCACAGGATATTTTCCTGCTTTATGAAACATCGTTGTATCCTCATATAGTCATTTTGGTGTAACTAGGTTTTTGAACATACAAATCAAATACATTTAACTAACGCAATAATAAAAACAAAAAAACCCTGAATATTTAGTCCCAGGCAATGAGAGGCTCAATAGGAAAGTGATAGTCTGGAGCATATCGATATTTAATATTTATTGATGATTTACTTTATCCCAATGATCATATGGTTAACTAATAACACATTTTATAGAAGAGAAATATGAAGCTTAAGTAATGTACTCAATTTCACACCAGACAAGAAAAGAGCTGTACTTTGAACCCAGGTTAGGCTAGGTTAACTAAAGCCTTTGCTTTTGGCCAGTATGCTCTATTAACTTCATCAAATTTAAGAAGATAAATGCTGAGCAAAATCCAGATTTGAAATGAAAGTCAGAGCAAGATATAGCGTGGAGACATCCTTGCATTCAAACATCAACTTCATAACAGAGCTATGAACAAGCTGTGGGGCAAGAGAAGCTATTCAACAAACCAAACATGATTAGATATTTTAGATCAATGCCTTAAAAATTATTTTTAAGCAGAGCAAAGGACCTACCCAGCCTGTTACCACTTTTGTGAGATAAAATAATGAAGTATCAATATACAAATTTTTATGCACTTGACTTAGAGGTATTGTGCATTCATATTTTGACTGCATCCCATATATTTCTAAAGTCTAGTAATTAGATGCTTATAAGCCAACATTTTTGATGACACCAATACACATCACCACACATTGTAGGGTTGATGAATCCACTCACAACAAGCTAGATTAAGCATGATAGAGCTAAATTAACTCTTGTTTAGAAACAAAATCAAAAATTTATACAAATGAAAAAGACTGTGAAAAAAATAACACTGATGTTATACCTGTAACAACAACCATCAAATCCTTCTGTAATAGTCTGAGAATTCCACCTCTCTGCTTTATATGAACTAGGAGCTCTACAATGTTGCGAAGGAGGTAACACTCTTAATAGAATAATATACAAGTGTCCCCATCAAACTATAGTTATATTCTTGTTTTTGTTTAGGAATATAAATTATAGTAATTGTGAATATCACAACAATTTTGTCATGACTTTTAGTAAGCTGACAATCAAAAACTAAAATGTCTCTGGAACCGAGCAACATTGACCCAAAAGAAACAAAGAAAGTACTTTGAAGAAGTACATTTTGAAGAAAATTCACAGATCATGAGATACTTACAAGAAAACCTTGGTCTGAAATTGAAGAATTGCTATTTCAGATATAAAAATCATCATGGGTTAGGCATAAGGAGGAAATAAAAATGAAAATGGCCTAACTACAGCAGACACCATATGGTAGAAAGAATGGAAATAAAATTGTTTAGGTGAAAGGGGATGGATTGTGAAAGACTGAGCTATAAGCAGAGCAGCTTTGATTTAACATATTGGGCTTCAAGAATTATGGAAAGTTCTCAACTGGAAAAATAATGGGTTATATGTTAAGGAAATTTGTGGGGGCATCAGAGTGCAGGTTAGATGGAAGCTGGACACAGTGAAGGCACAGGACCACACAGAAAGCCTCCACATCAATTATACACTGCATGAAATGCTCTGAGAACAGTGATCACATGGGGCCTGGAGATGAATGATCTGGTCTGAAAAGCAGGAAAATGCAAGAGTCAAAACCTAGCAGAGTGGGGGTGTAGTGGTTCTAATCATGTAAATGAAGTAGAAAAATGACTGCAAATGAAATCTTACTCCAAGCAAAAATGTCAAATTTGTAGTAACTATGGAAATTTAAATAAATATACATTTTCAACTAGTTGAATAAGCAGCTGAGTTAGGACCAGGATAAGAGGTCAAGGCTGGAGATGCAGATAAGAGAATTAGATAATGAAAGCAATGTTAATTGAATCCCTAAAGGGCAGCAAAATACATGTGTAGATTGAATATACAGAGGAAAGAAAAGGTTTGAGCACACAGATTTAGAAAACCTTATTGTTCGTAGGCAGAAGAAAAGAAGAGATCCTTTAAAAACAGAACAAGAAGGAAGGGCCAGAGTGGGGAAGAGTAAAGAGAAATAATGTAAGTGCAGAAGACAAAAGAATAAAGCATTTCAAGAAAAGCGAATGGCCTATGATGCAAAATGTTAGACTTCAAAGGAAAATAAAGCCTGGAGGAAAACCAGTGAAGAGTCAGGAAGGACATTTCAATATGTAGCAAGTGAAAATATTTGAGCAAAATGTAAAAACATAAGATTGATTATAGGGCTTCAGAAAATAAGTAGGTAGGAAATGGAGGCAGAGGTACAGATGGAAGGTTTAAGGGGTTGGGAGCAAAAAGGGAGACAGTCTAAACAGGAGTTAGAAAGATGCATTAGCAATACCAAGCAAGGATTGAATTAAGAGAGGTTATCCTCTAAACACAAAGGGTGCTTAAGTAGATGAAAGTTCTTTATTAATTATGCTGTGCAATGTCCTATTTTGTCAAGAAGAGTTTTAATAAAACAATTGATGAGCAGCATCTTGACACTTTAGAGTTTGTAAACTAATGTTTTCTCTTTAAGCCTAAGTAAAAATATTAACTGCTGGAGGAGATATTCCTCCATGACATATTTAGCAAAATGTTATCTTATTAACAGCTTCATTAATCCATGCATTCAACCATCATATAGAGTCTGTCTCAGTTTTTGTCATTCTGAATGAGGGCATCTGTTAATTTCTGCCATCACTGAGCCATTTTACATTTGTTCTAAATGGATTTCATCTTATTGGTTTTAACCAATTTCTCAAATTTAATCAGGGTATAATGTGTGCTGATCCAAACCCACATCATGTTGCAGTGCCGTTATACTTGTTACATATTTAAATTATGCTTTTCATATTCTTTTACTTGTTTTTATTAGTTGTTAATGACAGTATTCATTAATATTATATTTAGAGGTGTGTTATTAAAGACTCAGTACAACATGTCCTTCCAGATTGACAGTAGCCTATCAATGCTTCCTAGAAGGGTGGTATTCAATTATTTTTCAGCTGTTCAATCTATATGATTGTCACTTCTTTCCAGTCAACATTGTTACTTTCCTTCTGTTAATTGTTAGACCTGCGTCTCATTAATTCATTAGTTTTCCATTATTGCACTGGGAAAAAATGAACTTATTTGGCCTGATTTGTTTGCCTAAAACATATTTGGCTTCATTGTGATAGCAGATGGGTATAAAAATGTATGCATGTATATGCTTTGCCTCTCTTCTTGGCAAGTGAATTAGTCCACAACATTTTCTGTAGCCCATCTCACATTTAATGTCACAGAAGGGATTCATCTCTTGGCAATGAACATTAGTAGCCTGAAGAAAGGGGGTCATAAATCCCATTTTCATTTTTTATTAAAATCATACTATGTCAGGGTGTAATTTTCTTTTTGTGATACAGTGTAATTTATTCACTGACCTTGGACCATGTTCCTTTGCTAATCTGAAAGGTTGAATCAGTGTACTAACGATTTCTGCAACTTGACACAGTTTCTTCTAATATAAAGCCTTCAAAAGCTCAGCTTTTAGCTGAATACTTAACAATGAAAGGAATAATATTGGTGAATTTTAATGAGAAAAGAAAAAGCCAGGGCAAATTTTTTGAAAATGAGACAAAATCTGTGAGTCACACAGAAAAATGTTTTTTATTAAATATAAAATATATTTATTTTTTATATTTATATAAACCTTCTATAAACCTACTACCCACAGACTGAAATATCAATCTAACCAACCTCATTTACTATCTTTAGCCTCTTAGGTTTCAGTCTATCCATTATCTTGCTGTCCGTAATTCCTAAACAAATATGAAAACAAAACAAAACATGAAGGGACTCTATGAATAAATAAAATGGCTAAACCTAAGTTTCCTATAATAATTTCAGTTTTCTTTTTAAATGAAAGTTTAGTCATTACTAATAACTTTAAAAAAAAGCCACATCTATTTGTTGGCACTCTGATGTAAAAGTTTGAAAAGGTAAAGAACACGTGGTCATTTTGGTAGCTGAGAGTGATGGTTGCACAATGGCTCCAGACTGTGGCCAATGTAATCTATCTTCTGGTACAGGCTTGCTACCTGTAACACTTACTTTCTACCACATGGCAGCCCTGATTCAATTCAAAGTTCAACCATTAGCTGTCAATTTCCTGCCTTGTTTTAGGTCAGTCTCATCTATTTGGCAAAACCCCAAACCCAGATTAATTTTTCAGCCTTCTTTCCCTTCTAATCCAAAGTAACCAATTCCTGGTGAAAATCATAATGCTACACCATATATTCATGGTCTTATTATAAATAATAAGCCAACAACTCAGAATTAGATATTTGTGTAGCTATGTAGATGTGAATCAAAAGCATGAGCATTATTTTTTAAACTATAGGTCAAGCCATTAGTAAAGTAAGTTGTAAAATTAGTTTAGTTGTAGGGACAAGCATTTTTATTTTGTAGCAAAATATGAGAGTAGACAATAAAAATCAGACTGGTTTGCTTGGAGTAAACCAAAAATATTGTTTCTTAAAATATATTTTAGTTATGAATGTGCATCATGGGTTATACTGTAAAATGAAATTCTTGCTGTGATTTATGGCCAAAATAGTTTCCTGGTCTAGAACTATACAGGATATTGGTGATGATGCGGAACAATTGGAATGCTTAGGCACCGCTGGTGGAGATGTAAAATAGATTAATCACTACTTTAGAAAAAAACTACAGTTTCTCATAAAGTTAAAGATATACTTACCATATGACCCAACAACTCCACTTCTAAGTATTTACACAAGATTAAAAATAGATATGACCAAAAATATTTTGTTCATAGGTGCTTTATTCACAAGAGCCAAATAACACTGGAAATAACCCAAATATCCATCAACTGATGAACTGATAAACAATTTGTAGTACATCCATAAAATGGATTACTTTTCAGCTATTAAGTGTTCTAACTATTTATACATGCAATGAAAATCAATAAAATATTATGCTGTATGCAATAGCCAAAAATACAGTATATTTTTACATTTATATGAGCTTAGAAAAGTCAAAAACTGTAGTGACAGAAAGGTCAGTAGTTGCCAGAAAATAGGAATGAGGGAAGGATTATGATTACAAAGGGTCATAAGGCAACTCTTGAGTAAATGGAAATGTTCTATATCATCATTGCGGTTGAGAATACACAGCTGTATACATTGCTCAACATTCATCAAAATATACATCAAAAATTAGTAAATAGTGTGTGTAAAGTATCTATTAATAAAGCTGAATTTTAAAACACCAAGGAAAAAACACGTTTTTATAGGTCTTTTCATATGCCGGAAATGATAAATCTATTCTACAGTAACTATAGTATTGCTAGTTTTTTTTTTTTACTTTTTAATAGTAAATATAAGTAATGCATAGAAACTTTTCACTACACTTTATAATTTTCCTCTATTTCAGCTAAATTCATTTTCTGTTTATGTAAATATAAGCACACTGCATTAGATTAAACCTTAACTACATCTGAATGTGGTAGATGGAGAGGATTGTAACTTTCCTCATAAGTTATATGTTACTTTGTGAATCCGAGAGAAGCATTGTTTTCCCTTTTATTGGAGTGAGGCTTTGTGGGCTTCCTTTTTCTTGTGTGAAAAAGTTGGACTAGACAATATGAATCCATTTAAAAATTAGTCTTCTGGTTATTAAATAGATTTTCTATGACAGTGAGTTCAAAGGTTAATTTCCTAGTTATTGATCTTTTTCAGAAAGAATTTCTTTGTAATTATTCTCCGCTTTGCCCTCTGAAAATTGCTTCAACCTAGTCTTTAAAGAGTTTTTTTGAGTCTATCCATCTTCCACCCACTCCTCTTCCCTTAACAACGGATCCCACTAAAATCTGAATAGCTGACTAAGCAATAGCTATCTTTTAACAGCAGAGACTCTCCAGGGGAAGATCAGATTGTACTGTGAACTGCACAAATAAGTAGGCAAAACTGAGCAGCGTCACTCCCCTTGAATAAGAAAATTTCTATGAAAACCAATCAACTAAGACTCATAACTACAGATGGCTTGGCAAAAAATATGGTCATAATAAAATTAAATATCCTATGTAATGATTTTTATGTTTTCAAATTAAGTATAAAATATATGTGTACATTTTAGCTTTCCTTTATTTGATCTTTAGTGTGGAACCCCTTAGGGACAAACTGTGATGTTGACTGTAATTGTATGAAAGCTCATACACTATAGTGGTTCATCTGTCAGTCATAATAAAGATACCGTACAATACTTTAGAGAGTTTGGATTGTTTTAATATGTAGCTTATTTTCTTAATTGATGCTATTGCACAAAATTTTCAACGAATCTATAAAAACACATATCTCCACAAAAACAGAAATTTTGTTTATTCTAATTGTTTATATAAGCCTTAAAACACCAAATGGCCTAAAGTTATTGCGATTTGATACTGCTAACAAATGGTTCTGTTGGGATATGAATGTTCCCTAATGATAGATAGGTCATACTGGCTTATGGTCGCTGATACACATGCCTGAATCTGTCTAGATCCAAACTCTTTGTATACAATAGGATCACCTGTTTTGTGGGAATTAAGTTCTAAACGAGGCAGCCAAATTCTCTTAAACTTGAAATTCATCCATCCATAAGTACATACATAGCTGGAGGTATACAACATGGTATCATCTTTCTTATTAAAGGAAAAAATAAAATTCTAGACATTTATACTACTTGTGTCAGTAAGACAGCATCACAGCCCTAGGAGTAGATAGTAGAGAGGCACCTGAAGGTTTTACTGCATATTCTTTAAATATTATCCTTCCTAACTACAATACATTTTAATAAATATGTTTGTTGCTGTAAGGAATAAGTGAAACACCAAGTTCCACTTTATAAAAAATTAGATGCTAAAGTCTGGACAAGCTGAAAAAAATGTACACATGGTTCTGCTCCATTGTTTTTCTCATTTTTCAGCATTATTAAGGTATAATTGGAAAATAAAAATTTTATATATTTATGGTGTATAACATGATGTTTTGATATATTGTAAAATGATTAAACCAAGCCAATTAACATATCCATCACCTCACCTACTCATGTTTTTGTGGTGAGAACATTTAAGATGTACTCTTTTAGCAATTTTCAAGTATAAAATGCATTTCTTTTGAATTATATGGAAGTTAAAGTAGTTTGCATAAGAATAAGAACATCGAAGGACATATATCTTATGCATTGTCAGTCATAAGTGCAGTCTTGATCACCCCCATCCGAAGATTAATAAGTGCAATACACAGGGATTTTTCCTACACCATCAAGACTCTCATATAGAATCAAAATATCTCAAAGACTTACTCAGAAGTACAATCTGGAATTAAGAATGTATCAATAGTTATAGTCAAAATAATCACAAACTACTTCTGGTATGGTACGCTCTATTGTAGGGTAGTAAGTATAAAAAACCTATTTGAATGATGATAGATTTTTTGAAATCTTGTTCAGATTTTATTTTTTAAAAACGCATTTGTGGCATGTGAGAAAGTAGATCCAACACTGCAGGAAAGTGTGCCCGAGTAAAGACAACATATGGCAATAGACAGGGTGATCAAAGCAGGGGGAAGAAATGCCAGAGTGGTGGGCACACCACTTACCTGTTTCATCTGCCTGTTGTTGGACCTCATTTGTCCAAGAAGTGCTTACTTTTGCATACATACATAGTCAATCCATTCAATCATAGTGGCTTTAAACCTTAGCCAAGGCACTTAACATTTTAAACTGGCCCTATTTTAGCTTCGTAGGATATGGCTTAGAGAATTTCTTTCTTTGCTCCCAAAGGTGTATCTGAATACGCTGTGAGAGCAGCACTGACAGGCAGACTTAGAGAAGCAAGCTATTCCATCATCTGTTTCCCAATTCCTATTATTCTCCTGCTTCCTTCCTGTGTATCTCCTAAAGGCTTTCTAAAATACCTCAATATCAATAATATTTAGAAATATTTTTAAAAGCACATGGCTTACATTCTTAGACATGTTCATATACACTGAGTATTTTTTGTATTGTACCAGAAGTTATTGTTTGTGTGTGAATACGTGAACATAAGTTATCAACACCTCGAACCATGTCTTCAACACATTTTGAACATGGAACATATTCACCTGGCTAAATTTTTATACATAAAAAGTGATATTCTATAAAGTCACATTCCCACACCTGTCACTCATCCAACCTCTTCTCTGTCCCTATGATAGGTAAGCACTATTGTTAGTTTCTTGGGTATCCTGCCAGAATTTACCTAGGGAGATATGAGCACATTTGAATTTATTTTTATCCCTTCATTTAACACAAATGTAAAAACAGCATTCTCTTCCTTTCTGTTTCCATTGTTCTGTGCATCCTGCTTTTCTTTTTAAACAAGAGATCCTTCTGTATCAGTATATAAGGAGCATAATTATTTTTGTCTAGCTGTATAGTATAACCTTATATGGTTGTCTGTTATTACATATGCTATTACATCATTTCATATGTGTGCACCTAAATTTGTAGAATATATTTTCAAAAATGGAAATGTTGAACAAATATATAAATTTTTAATATTGATAAATATTGCCAAGTTCCTTTTATAGAGGTTATGTCAATTTATACTTCCTCCAGCAACAGGTAAGAGAATTGTGCCTTTGCTTAACCACTGCCATCCTATTAAACATGGTATAGTAGAAAGGGTACTAAGTTTAGATTTTAACCAACTCTGCGATTTATAAGCTGTGTATTGGGCAAGTCGTTTTTTTAAAACTTAGTATTTTCGTCTGTAAAATAAAGATGTGACCAGTCACTTTACAAAGTTATCATGAGTAGAGTTAGTGTAGTTCTACCAACATTTTTCATCCATGAGAGTGCAAGTTATGTCTTCCATTCTTCCAATGTTCCTTCAAGATCTCAATATTCTATGAGACTGTTCTTGTTCTTATACACATTCAAAGAGGTTTTAGTAAAAGTTGAAGAAGGGAAAATCCATGTTAATATTTTTTATGTAATTCAGGAAACCTACTAATCACCTTACACAATAAGTGGTCACAAAACTGGACTGAATCAGATGACTAGAAGAACTAAATGGCTCCATAATGTCTACCCTGTTGGAATTTGATGCTATTCATATTTAATTAGCTATCCCATGCATCTGAGAGAAGGTGAGAAGAGAGTGTTGATGACATGATAATAAATGTATACAGTCTATTCTTTACATTTTGTTCTGATAGGTATCATTGCCAAGTAATATAATCTACTCACTTTGATATTATTGGTTTCATTTTTAAAATTAAATCTTTTGTTTGCTTGCTTATTTTGTTATCAGTGATGAGGTGTGAGGTTTGGGGATTTTCACAGAGAAAGAAATAGTTCCCACGAGGGCAGTGTAGTTCAAGTAAAGTAAGAGAGATGAGGTCCATCTGTCCACAGCACGGCGTTCAGAATTAAGCCTACTTCCCCAGCTGTTAATGGCAAATCAGCCACAGGGACAGGTACAGGCAATGCAACAGCAGTTACTACGACTTGCTGTGATTTGCCGTGGGATATTAATATGTTGAACAAATATTGATCCCTTGTGGTGTACCTCACAGCAGCATCCAAAGATATGCATGATAATCCCCTGTTCATTTCACATGTGAGAAAGAGAATACAATATACAATGACCAAGTTTTATAACAATCCAAGAGAAAAGTTGATAAGAGATCTGGAAGAGCTCCTGGTCACAAAATAACATCACATCATATGCACGCACTCAAGTCCTTCATTAGTTACATCTGCTAAAATTGCTTTCAATACACAGTATCTGGCATGAGATGGAAGAGAAAAAAGGCAACCAGCAGGAAACAGAAAGCCTTCCAATTTAATGACATTTTCCTTAAAAATAAAAAAGAGTTACAATAGGCAAACTTGAAAAAAATTATACAAACACAAAAAGCAATTTTCTTAGCTACTTATTTTCAGCCTCATACTGTTATTTTAGTACTGAGTTGGAAAACGGCTTCTTTCTTTACTCACTACATTTGTTTTGAGCTGGATACTGAAGTCAAGGTGTATTGAAGTAGAGGAGAGGAGAACCTATTTTTATACAAAACAGCATGTGGCCCTAAGTACCTACTTTTTGATCACCAGGTTACAAACAAGCTGAGAATGGAGTCCTATCTTTAAGACAATCTAGTCCTAGGGCTTCAATTTATAGGTGGTGAAATTGAGGTCTGGAAAAATTATGTGACTTGCTCATTAGTGTGCAAGCTAGATGAATACTGTACATCACATACATATCCCAAGCTATTGGAAATCAAACTAAAGAATTATTTAAAGCCATATATCTGAAAAGGATGCAGGAACACAAAAATACATCATTTAGCCCTGTTCTGCCTCTGATAGAGGCACAAAAGATACTTTCTGTAAATCTTGGTAGTCCTAAGAGCCGCTAACCTCAGAGAGCTATGTGCTTTTCTTAAGCAACTACAGATAAATCAGCATATTTGGAACCTAATTAAATTTTTGACTTCTCCAACTATTGTGATAATCAAGTGTTTATAATTGGTTTTCTAAAACTAGAAGTTAGGTAAACAAAAGTGAGTAATTAATCCTCAAGGAATTCCTCCTGCTATCTGAAAGACAGAGCGTTATAATCCAGTGAACTCTGGGAGTTGAAAAGAAAGCAGTCACATAACCTAAAGAGAGGGAGCAGATTCACAAAGCTGTAGAACAGTCTTTTCCTTGTCTTAAATTTACCTTCTATGAACTTCAAGAAACTGGCTCCAATATTACACAGTTTGAACCTGCTTATGCTCTCCCTAGATAAAGCCTTCATTATTTACTAACATAAAATCATTTATTTTTATTCAATTTTCCTATTCTTTTCCATCAATTCTCTCTCACACATCTGAGAATGCTGATTCTAGGGAGGCAGAGCTTTCTTCTTAGAATGCTTGTCTGTTCTGTGACTGGGTCTTGGAGAGGTAAGGATAGGTTAAATCTCTCCCTATAACAAAGAGCTGCATCGCTTTACAAGAGGAGTGACAGAAATGTCTTTCCCTCACAAATTTTCAGAGGCCCTTAATCACACCCTTAATAAATTGAAGGATTTTTAAAAAATGATATTGATGATGAAGCTAAGATGTATATGTAAGACATATAATTATGTAAAAATTTGACTGTATTTTAACCAGTCTTTTGAGTACCTGTTTGTCTTCTTTCACTGTATCCTCAGATTAAACCTCACAGTGAGGACAGTGACACAACACAGATTCCAAACATAGGTCCAGTATCTTAGATGTGTTCTACAGAAGAAGGGTAAAGAGCAAATGACAAGTTTCACACATGATTCTTTCAGATATTTAAATACTGAATGCAATATGATTGACATCCCATCTAGTCTAGACTTTCAGTCTTAAATTCCAGTGCCTTTTACCAAAAAGAATCCATTCACAAGATGTTCAATGAGTTCTCAGAATGCCTGCAACTCTATCACAAAGCCCCATCTGCAGAAAGGTCACTACTGTAGGCATCATGCAAAAATCTGCCTTTTGTTACTGGATTCAGTTTGAATTTTTAAAAACATCTTTTATAGAAATAAGTGAAACTCCCTGCTGATTGAGATTTCTTTCAACCAGAATAGCCTAAATGTTGCAGAGCGTTATTCCTCAGAATATTCTTTCATTGGCTTTTCTTTGGGAAAAAAAATTACTGGCAGGTCAGTTGTGGCCTTTGTGTGTATATGAATGCATGAGAGTTAAATGTGCAAAGAACTTTATATGCTTTTTCCTCATTTAATCCTCTAAGAAATATTATGAGATGAAGTGTTATTATCTCTACTTTACAGGTGAGGAAACCAGAGCTTAGGGAAGAGTAAGCAACTTGTGCCAGATCAGATATTCAATGATGAAGGAATAAGTTGAAGTAAGCAATCT
Organism: Homo sapiens; assembly: GCF_000001405.40. Classification (NCBI taxonomy): domain Eukaryota; kingdom Metazoa; phylum Chordata; class Mammalia; order Primates; family Hominidae; genus Homo; species Homo sapiens. The sequence continues at coordinate 116,843,716 of NC_000003.12, forward strand.
GATTCCAAAGACAGTACCTGTAATTTCTTCTGGCAGTCATGAAAATAAGGTAAAAAGCACTCCCTTTCCTCTAAATATTGTCACGAATGTATGATCATGAGTGATCAAAGGAAACTAGAAATCATTTTAACCAATGTCTTTATTCCACAGTTGACAAAATGTGGAAACTTCTTTTAAATGTCTCTCTTTATTTCTACTGACATAACATAAATTATAAGAATCTATGTGAGCTCAGTGTGGTGGCTCATACCTGTAATCCCAACACTTTTGAAGGCCAAAGCAGGTGGAACATTTGAGCCCAGGAGTTCGAGACCAGCCTGGGCAAAATGGTGAAAACCTATCTCTACAAAAAATATAAAAATTAGCCGGGCATGGTGGCACATGCCAGTAGTCCCAGCTACTTGGGAGGCTGAGGTGAGAGGACCACTTGAGCCCAGGAGGCAGAGGTTGCAGTAAGCTGTGATCAGACCACTGGGTGTGATTAGCCTGAGTGACAGAGTGAGACTCTGTCTCAAAAAATAAAAATAAAATAAAAGAATGTATGTGACTTGGAAGTTTACAGTTTATTTCAATAAATATTGTTTAAATACTCTTGCTTTAAAAACAAATTTAAATATGTAAAAAATATAATAGCTATGAAAACATTCATTTTATATTGCTTTGTGGCCACTTCCAAGCTTTATGTATAACAAATAATGTATACAATAGAGGTGATCATATCATCATAGTGCGTATTATTTTTCTCAAAGTATATAGTTTTCCATGTATCTTGACAGTCTGCATATTCATCATTTCAATGGCTATGTAATATTCCATCAAACTGATGTACCATAAAACTAATTCACCATTTTAATAAAACATCTGACTTTATTTACTAAATGCAAACTAAGTTTGTGTGAGCATGTATTAAAAATTGCTAGACATATTTTCAATGAAAAAAATCATTCTAGAAATAGGCAGATTATTATCTATGTTCCACAAACCAGATTTGAGAGCAATGCCTTAATGAAATGCATCTAGCCTTATTTATTCTGATTTGAAATTTTGAGGTCTACCATAGCAATTTTATATCTGTCATCTGTAATACAGATTATTGTTATTATGATTATATATCAAGCTTTGTGGATGCACCCTGTACTTCATGAATATATCATAAAGTAGGTATCTGCCCCCCAACATTTATGAACTCAAAGAAAACAATGGGTAAATATAACTGTGCACATTGAACACAGATGCATTTTAGTAGATGAAGACCTCATAGAAAATGTAAGATTTGGAGAATAATTTTAAGTGAGGGAAGAAAGGATCCTAGATAAAGAATAAATTTATAGCGATAGCATGTCTAGGTTTATTTTTAACTGATGGACTTGATTGAGTGTTTCTCTCAAACACATGATTTAACTTCTGCAATTCTCTATTATCTGAGAGGAGCTTATCTGCCTGCTGTGAGCAATTTAACTCTTAAAAGAGTAGCTTTTCTGTTTACTTATCCACAACTGACTTGATTCTACTGTCCCTGAGATATTAGCACCTGTGATACCGAAGTCAACTTTAGTTTAATGTATCTATAAGGAGTTAGCAATCCTCCACAAAAGAGGTTCTAATTTTCACTTGCTAAGACTCAAAAGGTCAAGGGAATGAGTGGGAAGAGGATGACACTGTAGCCCCTGAGATGGAATAATAAGGAAGAGTTTCATAAAGAAACTAATACTGGATCTGAGTACTGAAGGATACAGAAAAGCTGTAAGAGAGGATAGAGCACCTCACACAGGGAAGCATGGAGCCAGGAAACATCATGGGTATTATGCAAGGATCCATAATTTCTGGAAACATAGATGAATATAAATATAAATGTTTATAAATGGGTTACTGATATTACATTAAAATATATGGCATGTTTAAAACATCACATGGTATCTTCAACGTGATACCCCTTACTAATGTTGCGTAGTTCAATGGGCTGTACAAAATTGCAATGAATGCAGTGCATTGATAAGCCATTTCCGTCAATCCTTGCACAAACATCAGTGATGCATTGCTTTAGAGGAATTGTACTTCTCATTTTCATTGAATGCACCTGGACATTTAACATCCCCATAAGAAATAAGCCAGGGTCTTCAAAATAAACATAAATAATAAAATACCATTATCTCTGTTTCCACACTTTATGGTAATATTACAAGATCCATGGAAGTTCAGTTTGACTAGAGGGAAGAATAGACATTGAGGAGAGAAAGAAGAAATGAAAAAAGGCAGAAAGGGAGGGAGGGAGGGAGAGGCAAAGGAGGGAGGATGTAAGGACAATATCACTAACGGTCTAGCCTGCCATCAAGACCTATCTGGGCTTCTTTCTTTTAGTGATGAAGAATTGCTAAAAGGTCATAAGCAATATGAGTTACATAATACAATTAACAATATAAAAAGACCATTCCAGTATTAGAGTGGAAGAAGGGTTGGAGTGGTTGTGGGGAAAATCAAAGGTAGGGAGATGAAGAGATTTGAAATAGCATAGGTAAGAGATGATGAGAGGTTAAGTGTGGAGGTTTGGAGTGTGATGGAGTGGAGAAGAAGGAATAGATTTGAGAATTATTTTGGAGCTCAGAGAAATCTGCTTGTTGATGTGGAGGAGGGGAGAGGGGCTGAGTGAAGACTGGACTATGATTCCTTTGCTTTAAATAGTGATATCATTCACTGAGAGAGGAATATTGGGAATGCAGATTTAGATGAGCAGGTGATATGGTAGATTGATTGCAGAATTGCAGAAGTTGCCACAATCCTTTACCCCTTCCTGTAGTCATACATTTTGCAATATGACTTTGACAGACTACCATTTCCCTGCCTCTTGAATCTGGGCTGCCTTTGTGATTTACTTTGGCCAGCAGAATATGGCAGAAGTGACATTGTGCCAGGTCCTAGCCTAGACTTTGGGAGTCCTTGTGACTTTTTGTATTCTCTATTTTCTCACACCCCAACCTCCCTTGTCTGTCTGTCTGTCTGTCTGTCTTAGAACCCTTCCAATGTTAGGTGAACAAGCTTGGACTACTCGTATGCCGGAGGGATGCAAAGACAGGTATTTGGAAAGAGACCTCAGTCATTCCAGCCATTCCAGCTGTATTGGTGTCTTTTTGCTACTATAACAAATTACCACAAATATAAGTGGCTTAAAAATTTATTCTCTTATAATTTTGAAGGTCAGAAACCCAAAATCAAATTCACTAAGCTAAAATCAAAGATTCAGCAGGTATGGTTCTTCCTGTACACTCTAAGGGAAGAATTAATTTCCTGTTCTTCTTCTTTTTCTTTTTTTTTTTTTTTTTTTTTTTTTTTTGAGACAGAATTTCACTCTTGTTGCCCAGGCTGGAGTGCAGTGGCATGATCTTGGCTCACTGCAACTTTGGCCTCCTGGATTCAAGCGATTCTCCTGCATCAGGCTCCCAAGCAGTTGAGGCTATAGGTGCACACCACCATGCCCAGCTAATTTTTGTATTTTTAGTAGAGACAGGATTTCCCCATGTTGGCCAGGCTGGTCTTGAACTCCTGACCTCAGGTGATCCACCTACCTTGGCCTCCCAAAGTGCTGGGATTACAGCCATAAGCCATCATGCCCAGCCGAGAATTCATTTTCTTGCCCTTTTCAGCATCTAGAGTCTGCCTGTATTCCTTAGCCTGTGGCCACTTACTCCATCTAGAAAGTTCATCACTCCAGTCTTTGCTTCTGTTATCGTAACAGCCTTCTCCTCTTCTGTAGTACATTCTTCTCTGCCACCCTCTTGAGAGGACAGCTGTGATTACATTATTGGACCCACCTAGATAATCCAGGATAATCTTTCCATCTCTTCACCTTTGCTTTAATTATATCTGCAAAATCCCTTTTGCAATATAAGATAAGATATTCACAGGTTCCAGGGACTAGGTTGTTGACATCTTCAGAGGTGGAGAAGGATATTATTCAGTCAAGCACACCAGGCAAGGCATTCTATACCAATCAGTTATTTGCCAGGTGACTTCAGTTACATGAGGGAGGTCAGTTGAGCCCAGTTGATTATTACTGCTCAATTAAACCCAAGCTAAATTACCAACGGGCAAAATATAGAGCTAAAATATGATTTCAGTTTTATGCTACTAAGTTTTGGAATGGTTTGTTATGCAGCAAAAGCTAACTGCTACAGGTAAAAAAAAAAATCAATTTTCAGAATTTCTATTTGAGAAAAAAGTAGGGTTATCCAGGTGGCCAAATTGGCAGGTAAAATGAGATTTCGGCTTGAGCTAGAAATTTAAGGTGAAATAAATGAACCTTGAATTAATAAGCAAAAAGCTTGAATTTGATTCCTTAAATACAAGTTCACATTAGTAGCCCTACACTTACCACCACAGGAGAAGTCAAGAACATGGGACTTTGAGATTCTCCTATTCCTCAGCATTTAATAATACTTTCTCTATCATAAAAGGGTGAGGCTGTACTTTCAGAAGAATGCATTGCTTCAAGATAGAGATTCTAGTTTCAGCCACTCTCTTCCAACTCAGAGCCTTATCTATAGGAGTTGTGATGATACAGTGAGAAACAGCATATGAAGAATTTATAATAGAGCCAGGCACAGAGTAAAACCATCAGCGAGTGTTCACTGTTGCTGTTATTATTATCTCTTCACAGGGCTTGTACACAGTTGATGGCTCATCATTACCCAAGAATCTACAGGCTACTGCTGCATAAGCCTTTGGAGTATCAGGTGTACATGCCCATGATAGCACTACCTTCTTTGACTTTTTAAAACTAATGGTCTCTTTGTTTCCTATTTGCTGTAGGAGCTTCCCTGTATTGTGCTAATTCTGCAAAGAATAGGAAAGTTGAAAAAGAAATGAACTAGGCTTCAAATCTTAGATGTGCTGAAAATGAGCTTTGTAATGTTAAACAAGTCAACCTCACTGTGTCTCTTTCTATGGATTCCAATGTTTGTGTGTTCTGCTTCACAGAGTAATTGTAAGGATCAAATGAATCAGTTAACCAATCAAGCCGAATAAATTGAGCACTAACGATGGCTTTAGCAGTGTGCTGGTTATTCTCAAAACTTAGATGTAAGTTGTTGCCAGACCCATCTTCAGAAGCTATACCTTTGCTTGTGCACACACTAATGAACTTGTACTAGTCATGATGTTCTTGAGCTAGTAATAATGCTCTAGCAAAAATAAAACGTACTTTCCACATTCTGAGGACATAATCCAAAGTAGCCTGCAATAAACACAGGCTAAACACTTTTTTAAAGATTTGCTTTTAATATTCAAAATTCCCTCAGAAGCATGATAAACAGAACACACATTTATAACTTTTCCTTCTGAAAATTTACAAAAATTAGAGTAAAGAAGTTAAAAGAAAAAAAAAAATCCTTCAATGCCTAAAGACAAAGAGAACTATAAACCAAAAATAAAATTCTAAGTCTCCTCAATCATCTAAATGGACCCCTCCTCTCGTCAAGGGCATTCCAGAGTTAACGTGAAAAACTAATACAGGCCATGATGGAAGAGGGGGTCAGACATGCCTCATTATATCCTCCTCCCTTTTGGAATTCAGGAAAAGCCAATCAGCATTAACATCAACACAGACTTTAAATGTGATAAGAAACATTTACATTCTTTTCTCTCTGAAGCCTGCTACTTAGAGGCTTCATCTGCATGATAAAACCTTGGTCTCCACAACCCCTTATTCTAGCCCAGCCATTCCTTTCTATTTATAATAGCTCTTTCAGCAAATTACCAATCAGAATATCTTTGAATCCAGCTATGATTTGGAATCCCCATCTCTACCTCACCCCCACTTCCAGCTGTCTCCACTCTTCCAGATTGAACCAATGTAAATCTCACATAGATTGCTTGATGTATTATGTCTCCTTAAAACGTATAAAGGCAAGGTGTACGTCAACCACCTTGGGCACATGTCAGCACCTCCTGAGGCTGTGTCATGGGCGTGTCCTTAACCTTGGCAAAGTAAACTTTCTAAATTGATTGAGACCTGTCTCAGATACTTTTTGGTTCACAGAAAAAACAAGAGACCAAATAACTGCAGTTAAGATGCATCAAGAAAATTTTGGAAGCTGGAAGCAGACAGACAATTCCTAACTGAGTTTAAAGAGAAAAGAAGAGTAAAATTATTCATTATAGAAACGAAGAAACCAGTTGATTTCCACCACAGAATTCAGGAAAGCTTCTGGACTTATAGACAACAGATACATCTAAAGATTCAATGGTGATAAAGATGTAAAGATTGGTTGAAAGCTGGTATGTGGTTAGAATCCTGCATCAACTCCTGCATAGTATGATAACTGCACTCCTCTTCTGGTCTCCCTCATACACAAATAGACACATGCCAGAAGAGGACAAGCCTCTTATTCAACATTGGAGAGATTGAATAACAGGGATTACTTTAGAACAGTAGGTCTCAACCATGTTCAATTTTGCTTCCCAAGGGATATTTGGCAATATGCCATGAAGACATTTTTGGTTGTCCCAACTTGTGGTGGGGTGTTTCTGGCATCTAGTGGGTAGAAGTCCAAGAAGGATTCTTCTAACATCCTACAATGCAAACAACAGCCCCCACCACAAACAATTATCTGACCCCAAGTATCAGTAGTGCAAATGATGAGAAACCATGCTCTAGAACACCAGAAAAAGCTGAGGATGGGAATGAAATATTAAAATCAGATGAATAAAATGAATATTACACACCGAACTGTGAGATCTGCATCTTGAATTATGAGGTCTTCCCCTTCCCTTTATTCACCTAGTTGTATCTCTGAGAAACCCAATCATTTGCCTTATATATTCCAGGCAATAGATCTGAGGCTTCCTTTTTGAGGGAAATCACTGTTTAAAAGAAAAGACCTGTGGATGCCCATAGCAGGGAGGTCTCTCTCCAGCTGACCACTCTACAGTGAAGCCTGCCATGCTAAGCCATCTCCAGTCAGAATTGTAGAATTGTGATAACTTGTTCCTAAATATAAATGCATAGCAAAGGATTAGCAGATATTAAGGAAGGCTTATAACATGAAAGTTATACCCCTGATATGGTTTGAGTTTGAGTACCTGCCCAATTCTCATGTGAAATTGTAATCTCCAGTATTGGAGGAGGGGGTCTAGTAGGAGGTGATTGGATCATGGGGCCGTTTCTAACGGCTTAGCACTATTTCCCTAGAGGTGTCTTCTGATAGAGTTCTCCCCAGACCTGCTTGTTAAAACGTCTGTAGCACCTCCCCACTATCTTCTTCCTCCTGCTGGCCACATAAGATGTGCTTGCTTCCCCTTTGCCTTCCACCATGATTGTAAGTTTCCTGAGGCCTCCCCAGAAGCAGAAGTCTGTACAGCCTGTAGAGCCATGAGCCAATTAAACCTCTTTTCTTTATAAATTACCCAGTTTCAGGTATGTCTTTATAGAAGTGTGAGAAGAGACTAACACAATACCCAAACAGAGAGACCAAAAAAAAAAAAAAAAAAAGAAAAAAAAGAGGAGAGAGAAACTCAAAATAACCATAGATAATATAAATGAAATTTCTTAGGAAGATTAACTAAAAAATCATGAGGTTTTTAATAACTGCCGTAAATATTCACCAGGGCCTACTTTTGTAGCTACTACTTTTTTCTTGTTATTTCCTACATAAATATTGTTTATATTAATTTATATCTCATTCTACAGAGAATTTCATCCAAGTATTTTGTACAAGTAATTAGAGAAATATGTATGCAATATAGACAGGCACAAAAGGAAAATCAGTACAAAAAGAAAATAAAAATACCATGTTAACCAAGTCAACAGAGAAGTTATAATTTAACTTCAAATTGACTTCAGACATTCTATAATTTCTTCAATAATTTGTTAGAAATGAATGAAAAAGGGAGGTTGTGAATAACTGTAACATGGAATTTCTCCTCTATCCTTTCTCATTACATTAGCTTTTTAAAAAAACCAGAAATCTGAATTTTTATAGCTTGTTTTGGTGTAGGACTGAGTAACAAACTTTCCCAGGTTATTTAAAATGTGATTGACTTTACACTATTCCACTTTCATGCAACTTTTCAATACAACTCTGACATACAAGCCACCCCTGTACCAAGACATTTTCTTTAAGCTGGTGATAGATATGCTTCTTACAAAGCTCTCATCAAGGGGTTAGGACACATACATATCTTGATTTGTCTGATTCTTTTATTAGATGAAGGCCATTTACTGCTAACCTTAGGCATTCTTAAGGAGCCAATCTTTTCGAAGAAGACTGTGCTATGAAGGACTAGTTTTATTAATAATGAACTTGAGCTTTGTACTGTACTTCAATAATACTTTCATGTAAGGGTACTGAAATGCTTTGCAATTTAAATGAATTAAGCCCCATAACACACTTTGAGCTACAGAATACTTGATTTTGAAATAGAAAATCCAAGGAAGAGAGATACAAAGTAAGTTTTATGTTTAAATTAAAATCCTCCTTTTCTCCACTTTTCCTCCTTTTCTATATTGTATCCCACTTCACTCTCGACACTACTTATTTCCCTTGCTCTCCTTTCTTCTATTTTCTCTAGGATATTCTTCTTTTCCTATCCATCAATATTCTCTTTTTTCTAGACCTCCACCCACCCATGACAGGAGTCTTTCTGTACAAATCAGGATAAATAAATGAATTAATGTGAGATAAAAATAAGGGGAGGGGCTCTCTTTTTCTTACGACTTTTGAGAAGGTTAAATTTTAATTATTTTCTTCTGTTAACCTCCCTCCTTCACCCACTGCCCCATTTGCTGAAGAAGAAGGCCATCTCCCTTATGAGTTCTGGCTTCCTCTTTCCCCACACTGTCTCTGGTAAGGGATCACTGAGAATAGGAACTTTACACCCCTTCATATCCCCAGTCTGGGGATAACCAAACCCAATATCAGATCCCTCTAGTCACCCTGTTCTGGTCCTTAAGCCTTAGGTTTTGGTGTAGTAGAACTCAATGACTAGTTAATATTAAGTTGGGATCAGCATACCATTGATTTTGGGAAAAGGGATCTCCACTTACACTTCAGTTTAAGCACAAACAATTCTGCCTGCTGCTCAGGGATGGGCAAACTACAGCAGGTCAAACCTGGTTAAGGCTTTGCGGTGGTTAATTCTATGCGTCAATTTAGAAGGTGTTTTGGAAGAGATTTAAATTTAAATAAGTGGGCTGTCAGTAAAGCAGATTGCTTTCGATATCATGGTTGAGTCTCATGTATTGTTCTGAATAGGACAAAAGGCTAGCCTCTCTCAGGCAAAGGAAAATTCTGCAGCAGACGACTTTCAGGCTTGAACTGCAGCATCAGCTCCTCCCTGGGTGTCCAGTCTGCTGTTCCCTGCTGCAGATTTCAGACTTTCCAGCCTCCATAATCACATGAGCCAAGCCAATTCCTTAAATCTCTCCATCTCTTTCTGTCTCTCCCTCTCTGCCCCGCTACACACACACACAAACACACACACACACACACACACACACACACACACACACCCTATTGGTTCTGTTTCTCTGGAACTCTGAGAGGCCTATTTCTGTGGAGTTTTACAGGAATATAGCCATGTCCATTTGTATGTGTATTGTCTATAACTCCTTTCTCACTCGGATGGCAGAGTTGAGAAGTTGCAACACAGACGATGAATGATACAAAGCAGAAAATATTTACTATCTGGCCATTTACAGGAAAAGGTTGGCAACTTCTGCTATGGCTTATTCCCTATCTCTCTTCCCACTGAGAAGATACTGTATGATTGGAAGCCTCCTCTGCCACCCTGGGCTGCTAACTTTCCCTTATTCATCTTACCTCAGTAACCTGAGCATGCCTTCCTCTATTTGAGCATTTAGGATGTAAGTATATTCATCTCTGTATTTTGTTCATGAAAATGAGCTTTTTGAGGTGAAGGACTGTCTTACTGTCTTATTTTTGTTGGAATTTTATTCATGTATGGAATTCAAAAAATATCTTTTGATGAAATAAATTACTGAAATAATAGCAGCTGACCTTTATGGATTGAGCACCTGTGATGTGTCTGCCTCTGTGTTAAGCTATTTACATATATTATCTCATTAAATTCAGACAACAGCTCTGTAATTATCCCCACTTTGCACATGTAGAAACTGAGACTGAGGGAGGGCTGTGATTTACCAATTGTTACACAGCCAGTATAATGAAGAGATGAGATTTCAGCCCAGAAACTTTGACTCCTCAGCCCACTCTCTGACTTAACCCCTCCTTCCTAAAATGAAGACATCCATAGCTGAGAAAGAATGGGTGCACCTTAAACCTTATATCACGTTGTGTCTATAATAATCAAAAGCTATTATTTAAGCAAAATCAGCTTACAATATATATTTTATTTATTTCTCTTTATTTGTTCTTTTTTAGAGACAGGGTCTTGCTCTGTCATCCAGGCTAGAGACTAGTGGTACAATCATGGCTCACTATAGCCTCAACCTCCTCTGCTCGAGTGATCCTCCTGCTTCAGCCCCCAAGTAGCTAGGACTACAGGCATGCACCACCACACCTAGAGATATAGTTTGGATGTTTGTCCCCTCCAAATCTCATGTTGAAGTGTGATCCTCAATGTGAGAGGTGGGGTGTAGTGGATAGTGTTTGGGTCATGGCAGCAGATCTCTTATGAATGGGTTGGTGCCCTCCTTGTGATAATGAGTGAGTTCTTACCCTATTCGTTCATGCAATATCTGGTTGTATAAGAGTTCGGCACCTCCTCCCTCTCTCTCTTGCTCCTTTTTGCAATGTGATATGCCAGCTCCCTCTTGGCCTTCAACCATGATTACAAACTTCCTGAGGTCTCACTAAGAATAGATGCTAGCACTATGCTTCTTGTACAGCCTGCAGAACTATGAGCCAAAGTAAACCTCTTTTCTTTATAAATTGCCCAGCCTCAAATACTTATTGCAATGCAAACAGACTAACACACCCAGCTAGTTTTTAAAACATATTTTATAGACAGGGTCCCATTACATGGCCCAGGCTGGTTCCAAATTCCAGGCCTCTAGTGATCCTCCCACCTTGGACTCCCAAATTTCTGGGATTACAGGCATGAGCCACCACGCTTGGCCATAAAATATGTTTTCAAAAGTTAGGGTACCTGATTAGTCATATTAATATTTTATTGAAAAGAACCAACCTCTTAGCCTTCATTCTTACAAAAACTATAGTAAAAACATTTTTTTAAAGGAAACCAGAAACACATCTGCTTTGGTGTTGTTGCTAGGATCTCCTTATTATTATGCAGTGTAGCTTCTGTGCCCTGTGCTCTGAGGACTGCCTGTGTCTCTCAGGCATAGCTGATGATCACAGGTACCTCATGAATGGAAAAGACCCAGCACAATAAAAATTATCACAAGCCTCATTTCTTTTCTTTCTGCTTTATGACACCACAGTGTTACAAACAAAGCATAGGAAGAATTATTTACTTTTCAGTTCAGGTAGTTCCAAGTTGTATTCATTTGATTTCAGCACATCAGAAAAATCTTCTGATCACCTGAGTCATCAAACATAGCAAAAAGCATTTACTGAACCATTTGAGCCTGCTGATAGTCCTGAAATTTCTAGGAATGCTTTTATGATAATAAGGAATTACTGGATCACATAAAAGCACTTATACCCGTACATGTAAGGATTATAAAACAGCACGGTTTCTTTCATGTGGTCCTTGGTCTGTTACTGTTATTGTGGCAGGAGAAGGGGTTGTGTGGAGAAACATTGGATGGACCACTGGGAAAAATACACTCAAGCTCCTTAAAGTCTATGTAATGTGATCTCTAATGTCAATTCCCAATCATTTTTAGGGCTGGCTTTTAGAAGACGGCAGCAGCAACAGGATGATTTATACGACCTACAGCAGAAATAGCAGTAGTAACTATACTCTGCTGAGAACTCTAGGAAGTCCATATGACAGTCTCTAAACATATACTACCTCTCATCCAAGAGGATGAGAATCCTTCTTTCTAAAAATTATATCATCCATTATACAAATGAGAAATTGAGGTGCAATGATTGAATTATTTTTTTCTAAAGCCACACAGTTAATAAACAAAGGAAATGGGATATGAATTCATCCTGTCTATTTTCTCAAGCTTGTACTCATTTTACCTATATAATACACCAGAAAGGACAGAATTGTCAAGCTCTGTTTCCCAGAAACATAAGTCAGCATAACATTGATAAATGAATACGTTTGATGTCTTAAGATGATCTCTTCTCCATGCTTAGGGGCTTTGAAATAATAAAAAATATGTCTACTCTTCTGTATACCCAAAATATTCCAAGAAGTAAAAGTTTGCTACATGAACAGAGAATCAAGGACTTATCGTTAACTTTTTCTTCTGGTGACAGTTTAGAGCTCAGACAAGGAGAAGCTGTTTTTTGCCGAGACAGTGTAAAGGAAGAACTGAAGGTGTCCAATTTAGTGGTATAATTGTGAACATCCACAGAGGAAACAAAAAAATTTTGAATTGTCACCAGAAAAGTCCATAGTCCTATTTCCTTTGCTTACCGTGTGCCTCTAGAAACTCTAAACTCTCTGAGCCTTCGTATTGTAAAATGAAAATGCAAATAATAATAATACTGGCTCACAAGATAGTTAATAAATGAGATGCAACAGTAAAACTCAATTGCTATAAAGTGCAGTACAAATGTTAGTTACTGCTATTTTAATTTCAATACATTTTTTACTATATTATTATAACATCCATCTTATGACTAGGCAGGAAAGTGTCAAAGAGACCATAGAAAGTGGGAGTTGATGGAGAAAACATTGCTAGAAAGGAATATAAAATTTAAACTGATTTTAATAAAAACATATAATACAATTAATTTGTTTTTCCATAAAACAAATTGACATGGCAAATTTAGTATTTCACCAGGAAAATATCACTAAATTTCTGGGTCTGATACAGTGCCATAATTGTTTAGCATTGCTGTGGTCTCTTGAGAAAGTATATTATTTTTGGAATGCTCTTTAAGCAGAGAAGAGTATCACTAATGTTTTTATATCTAAGTTCCCTACCCCTTTCAAAAGAGATGCGTATTCTTTAAAGTTCATGTCAAGAAAATACCTCCAATGTAACTATAATTTTAGGTTTGTTTCCTTCAACACCTCTTTCTAGTGTTCTCTCTCAAAAAATTCTAAAAAGATGAGATGATCCTTTTAAGTTGAAAAAGATATTTCCTGAGAAGCAAAGCTTTGTCTAGTAAAAGCTTTTGTTTTACACTTGGAAAACTGTTGCTTTTCTAGGTAAGTTTTAGAAAGAGCTAAAGGACACATTCATTTGGGGACTGAACATATTTTTCAATATTTGAGGTCTTTGTCTCAGAATGTACTTTTGTATTGGCCTTGATCCACTAATTCTTAGATTCAGAGTATCTCAAAATTTTAGAGTCTACTGCTCAAGAGATTTGGAGGCCACATTTTTCTTTCTCTCATGTGATATTTAAGTTCCCTTTACAGTATCTGACCTGTGGTTGGCAGATCTCTGCTCGAACTCATCCACAAATAGAACATTGGTCCATGCCTGTATGCATTCATTCATGTCAGAATCATCATTTGCCATGCAACTAACATTAACTCGAGACCACAGGGAGTACAAAAAGAGGACAGGACACGGTCTTTGACTATCAGTGGATAAAAGGGAACAAGGTCCAGTTTGCTTCTTCCAGTTCCATGCGGATAATTCAAAACCGCTCAATCAAAAAAAAAGCCCTTCAACTTCGTGTGATTTGAAGTTTACACCAATCCATGGTCCTATTATTTGCTTTTGATTCAGCATACACTTAAACTTAATTGCCTACTACCGGCTCAAAACTACACTAGAAGATCTCCTTTTGCATTACCTCAATTAAGTGTACCTTTCATATGGACTCATTTTATCTGAATAACCACAAAGTCTTCTGTATCTTCTCTACTTTATTTCCAGAAAATTTCAATGCTTATGTGGTTGATCATGTTATAATATTATCTCATGGCTTCTCCTGCTTTCACTTATTTCTGCTGGTCTCACTCATCAAGGCATTAGCACAGCAGTATCATAAACATCTAGGGTCTTCAATCTGCTTCCTTGCTTACCTGCTACCTCTCTCACTGATTTCTCATTCAGTGTTCTGAGGCCTTCAAATCCTTTTAAGCCAGAAAATATTCCCTTGTTTCCTTGTACTTCATGGTTTGTGATGCCTGTTCTCTCCTTTATACCATTCTCAAAGTTCTTGCCTTCCTACACTTATATGAAACTCAGATATCCATTCTCAAACTAGTCTCTGCTCAGTGTGATCATCTTCACTGTTAATGCGGAAGACCAGTTGCATCTCAAGGAATGGATCCCAGGTTGGTTCCAGGGGGAGGACCTTTAGTTACTTTGTCAGTGATATATTTCACATCAATTAAATCAGACTTCAGATATATTATCACTAACATCTTCAGTCTCTCCTTTAAGTTGCCTGTTTTTCCTTTTTTTAACACATACTAGCCTCTTGTTTTCTGAAAAAGTCTTCCCTTGGACTGGCCCCAGCCCTTTCTAAGATTTATTCAATTCTCTCTTTTTTACATGCTTGATTTTTTGCCATCATGGTGCAGTAGTTCTCCAGTATAATCTTATAGACAAATACAGTGGTTATGTCTCAATGCTTATCCTTGTTTTCTTCTGATATGCATTTTAAAGAGTTAATCACCCTTTCTTCTTAAAGATCTCCATTTGATTTCTAAAAGACATATTTTCTTTGTTTCTCATTTTACTTTCACTTTCATATTTTCTGTCACTTAAGTAACAAACAGAAATATTAATGTGATTACAATAATAACCATAATGTATTCAGCTCTTAATTTGCATTGCATTTTACACATAGACATTATTTCATTTAATCTGCACACAACTTCAAGAATACGTAATTTTTTTTCAATGATAGGTAACATTAAGTTTCAAAGAACTTAAGTAATTTGCTTAACATCTACTTCAAGGATTGGATGTATATTCTCTCTTCTATCTCTACACTTTCTTCCCTGTAGTTCCCGCACATTAAGTACAATTCATATGTTGATATACAACATATTATTATCTGTAGCCCATACCTCAACATTGAAGACAATGCTTGTATACCATCTGTCCACTTGACATTTCTATTTGATGTCTCAAGGAATCTCAACTATATAATGCTAAATTTTTGGTTTTTCTTTTCTGCCTTATCTCAACTTCTTTCACACACAAGAATACAACTTGTTTTCTTCCTCCATTTTCTCTGTTTTAGCTAATGGTCCCACTATGTACCCATCTGTCTGCTCAAGCCAACAACATAGAAGTCATCGTGAGTTTTCTTTCTTCATTTCTGTATCCTCAATTATTAGCAAGTTCCATTAGTGCTTCTTTCAAACTAAATCTCCAAATTATCTATTTTGCTTCATTTCCCATACCTTTACCTTTGGCATATGTTCCCTGTATTAATCATTTGACCACGGGGGTGGATTTTTCACTGATCTACCCGTGTCCCCTCTAGTCTTCACCCTTTCATTCTCTGCACAAAAGCCAGAGTGAGGCTTCTCCGTGTATCTCTCCTTTATTTAAAGTCCTTAAATGGATACCAACATGACCTGGCCTCTGTGTACTTTTACTTGACCTCTTGCCCTTCTTCCCTGAATCACTAGGATAAAAATATTTTGTTTTTATTGTTCCTAGCATACTCGAAGCTGACATTCTTTTCTGGGTTCAGATAGGCTACCACTCCCTCTTCAACCTCCCAACTCTAAACTTCTTTGAATGGAAGACTCTTTCAGTTCTCGGCTTATAGGTTGCATCCTGAGAAAAGTCTTTCCTGATCTTATCTAAAGTAATCACTGGTCCTTATCACCAATTTTCTCTTGTAGCATATTCTTTATTTCCTGACACACTAAAATAAATAGTTTTATTTTATTTGTTTATTTTTTATGATCTAATGCTAGATTGTATATTACTAGAGAGCAGGCACTGTGTCTATATTGCCCAGGCTGGAGTGCAGTGGTGTGATCTTGGTTCACTGCAACCTCCGCCTTCCAGTTTCAAGCGATTCTCTTGCCTCAGCCTCACAAGTAGCTGGGATTACAGGCGCCCGCCACCATGTCTGGCTAATTTTTGTATTTTCAGTAGAGATGGGGTTTCCCCACGTTGGCCAGGCTGGTCTTGAATTCCTGACCTCATGTGATCCACCCGCCTCAGCCTCCCAAAGTCCTGTGATTACAGGCGTGAGCCGCCGCGCCTGACCTGTATCTTGTTCACTTTGATGTGCCTAGCTTTTAGCATGGTGCACAGCACATGTTTTGGTTTTCCAGGGCTGCTGTAACCTGGGTGGCTTAAACAACAGAAATTTATTTTCTTATAGCTCTGGAAGTTATAAGTCAGAGATAAAGGCTATGGCAGTGTTGGTTGCTTCTGAGAATTATCAAGAAGAATCTGTTCTGTGCCTCACACCTAGCTTCTGGTGGTGGTGGTGGTGGTGTTGTGGTGGTTGTTATTTTAACCAATCTGGCATTCCTGGGCTTGTTGAAGCATCATCTTGACCCCTGTCTTCATCTTCCCTTGGCACTCCCCATAAGTGCATCTCTGTGTCCAAATTTCCTCTTTCCATATGGACATCCAGGCACATTGCATTAAGGCTCATCCTAATAACCTCATCTTAATTAGCTAATTACATTTGCAATGACCCTATTTTCAAATAAGATCACCTTCTGAGGTACTGAGAGTTAAGACTTCAACAGATGAATTTATTTTTGAGTGGGGGGGATACAATTCAACTCATAAACAGCACCTGACAGCCAGGAAATGATGAAAGCAATACTGAGCCCATTATCTATCAAACATCAAGGACTGTAGCTATAGAGACCTGGAGCTAGGACCAAGGGAAAATACAAGCTGCTGTTTATCAAGACTTATAAAGGGTCTGAGATTTTCCCCTACTTGTCAGTTAACAAATTGGTCTACCTCCGTTTCCTGGATGCTCGCAAAATACATGACAGTCTTGGGCAAGTGAAAAAGAACTTTATTCCTGACAGCAGTAGCACTAACCAGAGTATCTGCATTTGTGCGGTTCCCTAAGCCCTGATTTCCACACAATGACTTGAAGAAAGCCAGGATACACTTGAAAACATAGTAGGTTGCATTTTAAAGGGATAACTCAAAGCCTGGGAAATTTAAATATTCTATAATGGACAATAAGCCTGCCTGACCTTTGCCCTGGAAATAGACATTATCTTTATTATAACATATACTACACAAACCTTCCCTTTGCTCTGGAAGGTGATATTATCACTATGTCTCAAACAAAGGCAGTCAGTACCTCTGTATACCACACTTGCAGAAATGTGATCCATACCCATGAATAATAGTCTTCCAATAGTGCCCCAGCCAGGAAGCAAGGAAAATGTGTTCCTGAAGTAGCGGTTTATGAACTGAGTCTGGAACATCTTCCTATTTTCAGAAATTTGCCTTCTGAAAATGTCATGGCAAAGAAGTAAACATGTAAAAAAACATTTTTGTTTTACACCCAGTTTTCTTTGTCTTTCCCTAAGTAATTGTATGTTGGTTAATACATTTTCTGGAGTTTCAATACTCAGTGTGACTATGCTAGTATCTTGCTTAGTTACTGTGTTTCTTCAGCCCAATTTTTCTATTAGTGTATTTAGGTAATCAGAGGTATAGAAATTCTGAGATAAATACTACCTTCATTCTATAGCTCCAGAGATTGTGCCATCTGCATTTAAAAAGTGCTACACATGCATATGTTATAGAGAATAAGGTGGATGTGAAGAACATAACTAAACTGCAGAAAAGAACATAAATATCTATAATTTCATTTGTAACTAAGGATTTAAAGCACCCTCCTTCCATTTCATAGATTAGGATAACGAAGCCCCAAAGTATTAAGAGGCTTAAATGAAGAAAGAATCCACTATTAACCCCTGATGTTTAAATTATACATAATTTCATGTTCTATGTATATAGCTGCCCTCTTTAAGAGAGTATAAAAAATAAATAAGAAAAAAAGATACCCTAAAATAAACAGTATCAGTCCTCTTTATTACAATGTTTCAGAATAGACCCTGATGTCTGGTTGAGGTTGGGGGAAAAATTAATTCCTGGTTTTAGTATATGTACAAAATACTCTTTGAAGCCTTTCTCTGTGAATTCTGTATCGTCTCCAAGTGTTGATCATTCTAAATGGTACATGAGAGTCATTTAATATGAAAAGCTCTATGTCTTAGTGTGATTTGCACCACTATCTCTTCCTGTTGGTGTCTGTTGTAAATTTTCAGCCCCCACCTAGCAATTTCTTTTCATAACGAACACAGGCTTCATGAGTCAACTTCAACTATAAACATTTTATTATCTGAGCATTTCATAGGCAATGAAACATACGGTGTTTAGAATTCTAAGAATACTGGAGATGAAGGGTAAGAAAGAGAGACCTGTGTTTTTCCCCCTGAAATTCAAAATGCTGAATATCTCTTTAAATATCTGGCACTGTAATTTAAGTAAGTGGATTTTCTCCCAAAAAAAGTTTTTAAAATCTGCTTCTGAAATTAATCTATAAATCACCAAATTCAATCAGTACCAAAAACAGTAAGTGATTTAATAAAGGGTTAAATCTGCATAGTGCTGTGCAGGAAGCAACTTGCCTTGATGCCAGAATGAAATCCTAGAGTACATGTCTATGAATGAAGTATAAATTACAAAAGCACAGAATTGCCATGCAAAAAGGTAGAGACCCCTGATACATATCTTAACCTGTATCATCATGTCAGTACCTTCCTAAATCCTCAAACTTGTGGTTGCCTTGGAAATGTGGCAATTCATAACCTTTCCACCCGGCCTTCCCCTGGCTGCCAATGGAAAGAAAGAAGATGAATGATTTTAATTCTTGCTGCTGCCCTGCCCAATGCAGCTCTGCTGCCAGCTGGTTTTGCTGCAGCCCTGGTTATAGGAGGTTGGGTTCATGTGAATTTTTTACATGGAGATCACAGAAATAGAAGGAAGGACATTGTGGAGAAGGGGTTGCTTCTCATGGAGTAACATTAAGGTAGCACAATAGGGCAATAAACATGGGGGCATATAGTTGTACTTCTGAGTGTTCTACCACAAGAGGATGAGTGGTTTTATCCTTGCCCAAAACAGAAGCCTGACTAGATGCTACTTTTGAATAAGTCAACACAAATACACAGCAGTCCATTAAAAGAAGAAAATAATGTGTGGCAAAGTGTGGAATGGCCTGATGGAAAGGATTATTCTGAACTTGATTTTTTTAAAGGCTTTCTCGAGCTTTAGGAGGAGGAAGTGCTGAGCTATCTTGGTGAGAAACTACAAAAACAGTATCCCTGGGGGCAGGTGACAGAACCAAGGACAGTCATAGCAGGAGAAGAAGACGACAGGTCAGAATAGGGAACAGCAACAGCCAAGCGACTACAGTTACCTGAATTTTGTTCCTGACTCTGCTCTTACAATTTGCCAGGACTGGGAATTTGCCAGAACTTTGGAATGGAACTACTCAATCCTTCACAGTTGCCTGGAACAAACACAGACACGCACTCACAAATACATACAGTACGAGAAGCAGAGATATGGACATTAGGGGATTGGAATATTAGTTTGTTTACACTGGAGGAAGTAAAGAAAGGAAGAAAGCAAGACAAGAAAAAAGACAGCAACCCAGGAAAGAAAAGTCAGACAGTGATAAATTGTGAATCTGGTGTAGGGTTGTTTCTGATAAGGAAACACCATAGGAATCAGGACCTGGGAACTTTCTTTCAGATGTATACACATTTCCCTAAAGCAAACTGTTAAAGACTTTTAAACATAAAACTGTCACAGCAGAGGGTATCAGGGAGAAATAATGGTGTTCTCACACGCAGCTCAAAGTACTGTACAAAATTTGCTTTTTGACATCTTTGCAAGACACCTAGAGGCACAAGGGGGCATATTTCTGTGATCTTTGTAGAATCCTGAACACAGGTACACACAGCTTAGAATTCAGAACCCCAAAGTTCCTTTAGACAAGTTTAATAATAACTGAACCTAAATACCTGTCTATCTTTGATGCATGTATTATACAAATGAAAACTAATGAAGCACTAAAGAACACTGTGTTCAAACCCAAGAAATGCAAATCAGAAAAAACAAACAAACAAACAAACAAAAAAACACTTAAGCCTTGACCAAGAAACGCTGGTTCTAAGCAGTAAGGCTAGCCAACTTGCGGTGATGCATTCAGCCAAACGAGAGAAGAGAGAAAAGGAAAGAGAAAAAGATCCTGAAAAGGTTTTTTTTTTTGCTTTCAGTGACTCACATATTTATGTTTCTGTGTCATCTATCTGCCTATACCATTTCCCCTCCTTCCCTTTCCTTCCATGTTTCTATATGTTGCTAAATCCCTTCTGCCCCCGCCACTCCCTCTCTTGCCAACTCTTCCATTCTTCGGTGATTTGTTGCTGACTCCCCTGCAGGTCCAGCTGCGTGCTTTTCATTGTTCTGTAAGTTGCCTCCCCCCCTTCCCTTTTTCCTCTCCATCTCTGAAGTGAAACATACGTGCATGGTCAGCAGACGCACAAACACGCTGCTATGCTAACTTCTCTCTGCCACTTTCCGGTGATGGACACTCCGAATGTTTAGCACAGCACGCCGAAATGTTGATGTAACAATGAGAAGCTCTTCACCTGCAACGCTAATTAATCGTAAACACGTTCCTTTCAAGGTAGGAGTTCTGGCACTGATGCCTGGAGGAGAAATTGGATTTTCTTTAGAAGGCAAACAAAAATCCCCTTCAGATGCTAGGTGGCAGTGTTAACTCACAAACAGGCACACATCTAAGACTTGCCAAGTCACACATGTAATTTGGTTTAAGTGAGACGGACAAAAAAGTGGAGAACTCATAGAGATGGTTTGACGCCAAAAAATAAGTTGCCGCGACTGTCCATGAAGGAGTTCATAAACATGCAAAGTTGAGCGTTACTCTTTAAAAGGATTCCTCGCCAAAGACAGCTGATATTTTAAGTGTCTGCCTTGTAATTTCAGCATCAAGATTTCAAAGCAATATTGTTTTTTAAAAATATGACGTTGGTAGAGATACCCCAGATGTTTAATATTTTTCCTACTCCACCTGAATTTCCCATCTGAATAAATGTGATCAGTATTCATAGCAACTAGAAAAGAATCTGAACACCAAGCATTGCTCTTATTATAACGGGATCTCAGGGACAGGTTGTCTTCCTCTTTTTCCAGGTGATCACTGCCACACAGTTCTTTCATTCCTAAATTTCCCAAAATAGGATCCCCAGGGACACCTTTTACTCTTTCTTCTCTTTTACATGCCAATCAATCACCTTGACTTGTGGATTCACTCATATAAATATTGCTGAAATCCACAGTCACCTTGTAAGGCCTGTTGCTCGTGGTTTAGTTCAATTCCTTATTTTTCTTCCTTAGAAGATTGTGGTAGGCTATTAGGTGAACATTCTCCATTTCATATCTTTCCCAACCATATATTAACCACAAACATGAAGAGTGGTCTTCTTGAACACGCATCTGAGCATATAACTCTTTTCCCTAAAAAACTGGGATGGATATGACTTATATATAGGATAAAGTGCACATACACATACATATACCTTAATGAAACTTATAAGGCCCCTTTATGACCTGGCCTCATTTATCTCAACTTTTTCTTTTCTCAGGCTTCCTCCTTACGCATTGTACAATCCAGCCACATATATTCCTGAGGGATTCTCTTTATATGTCAAATTATATCACACCTCCAAGCCTTTTACATGCTGTTCTCTCTGCCAGAAATAATCTTCCTTCCTTTTCTCACCAGGTAAACACCTTATTCAATCATGTATTTATTGTGCAAAACCCCAGGGCAAATGCTACCTCTCTGAGCTTCCTAAGTGAGGTTAACTGTCCTATGTGCTTATACTTACAGATACACATATAGATATAGCTATAGACACACACCTTTATGTAAAGGGTCTCTCAGTTTATTGTAACTATCTTTTTATATAAGTTCTCCTTCAATAAACTATGAACCCCTAAAAAGCAAAGTTGCTGATGTAGTCATGTATGTAGCTCCACAGATTACTTCAGAAGAACTGTACTGTATCAATGTTTCAATAAAGGATTAGAGAATGAATGGAAGATGGACTGTTTTTCAATATGTTTGTGTTCAAAGAAGCATCTTATTATTAGGTTGCCAAAAGAATTTTACTGAGTAAAGTGTAATGAGTGACACTTCTGAGCATCAGCATAGTGCATATTGGAGAACCAACTACTTTAATTCCTAAAAATTTGCAATTTTAAAGACTATTTCCCCAGACTACATTTATCCTTGTCCATCAATATAAAAATCTAGCTATTTTAAATAAATTATTTTTGTCATCTTGAAAATCCACTTCTTTATACAATCATACATTTTCTTTTTACATCTTTTAATTATTCCAACAAATCTTTCCTTTGTAAGACACAGAAAGTCATTTCAAACAAAGTTAAGCAAAAAGATAATTTATTAGCTCACGTTAATGGAAAAAATATTGGGATACTTCACAGAATCCATGCTTTCATTTACTTAAAGAATATTTTTGAGGATTTATTGTATATTGGTCCTATAATAATCAACAATACAGATAGAAAACTCCTTTTCTTGTTACATTAACTTGGGTTTAGACCAATGATTCTCAACTGGGCATGGCTTTTCTCCCCAGGGACATTTGTCAATGAGTAGAGACATTTTCTGTTATCACAACTGGTTCTACAGGCATCTAGTGAGTAGAGCAAGAGACTCTGCAAACACCTCATGAGGCACAGGAAGTCCACCATGACACAGAATTATCCAGCCAAGGATGTGAATAGGGCATAGATTGAGAACCTTGTAAAGAAGTAGACTGTGTCATATGAAAAGAACAGTAGATACCAAGGCTGTGACAAGAACAGGTTTGGCATGTTTGAGAAAAAGGACATGGTCCTTTATGGTTGGGGCAGAGGAAATGAAGGCAAGAGTATAGGAGATGAAGTCAGATACAGAGCTGGAATAAGATCACAAAGGGCATCGTAAGTTGTATTAAGGGTTTTAACTTCCACTCTGAGCAAGATGGAAAGCTGTCAACAGGTTTTGCTCAGAGATATAGTATGATGTGACTTAATTTTTAAAAGATCAATCTGTCTGCTACATGGAGAAAGAAAAAACATGCAGAATGGCAAAGGAGAAAATAGGAATTTGGTCATTACAATAGTCCAGGAGAGAGAAGATGGTGATTTGTACCAGGATGGTAGCAATAGCACAATAGAAAGAGGTTAGAATCTGGATATATTTTGAGGTAGAGAAAATAGGATTTGCTGATGGTTTGAATGTGGGTATGAAAGAAAGAGGAGCCAAGCTTGTTTCAGAGGTTTTGGTCTAAGCAACTGACACAATAAAGATAGCATGTACTTCAATGGAAAGACTGTGAAAGAATGAGGAGATAAGGAGCTCAGAAAGTCCAAGTAAGACACAGAATTGTCCACTGGATAAACACACCTTGAATTGAGAGAAGAGTATTTTGAATATGTATTTTGAAGTATCAACTCTATAGATAAGGCCTAGATGAGGTCACTTAGGAAGTGAGTTTAGATAAACCAGAAGTGTCCGAGCCCTTAGGAATCTCCAACAGTTACAGAGGTTAGAGAAAAAAAAGAACATCTTGCCAAAGGGACTGAGAAGGATCATTGAATAAGGTAGGTAGAAACCCAGATGAGGTTAAGTACAGAGTGGCTCCCCAGAGACCAAGAGAGATGCTCAAAGGAAAGGCAATAACAAAACATGTCCAGTGCTCTTGATAGGTCAAGATAATGATGCCTGAGAATTCATGATTGGATTTTGAAATGTGAAGATGGCTGGTGATCAGAACAAGGGCAGTATCAGTGAAAATGGAGAAAGCCCCTGTGGAGTCGCTCAAAGGAGGTAGTATGTTATTTATGGAAAAATATGTATGTGGTAAAACTCTTAATAATTAAAAGGAAAGGAAATATATACTTAAAATTTAAGATAGCCGTTATCTTTTCTCTAAGGAAGGCAATGAAATGTATATAGAAAGTATATAGAAATGTATATAGAAAGGAACACAGAGGAAAGTAAAATAGAATTGGTAATATTATAATTCTTAAGTTATGTTATTATGCTTCACAATGTAAAACATGTTACATATATTTTTCTGCATGAACAAAAAATAACATAACTGAAACCTACAAAGAGGAAAGGGGATGTGTAGAATTGGAGTCAGTGATTGTAAGACTGACTACTCTTTTGAGAAGTTTGTAGAGAAATGAGCTAATGATTAGAGATGCTATAAACTTATTTTTTGCCTTGGTTTTAAGATGAATGATATTAATATTTGTGCTAGTGGGAATGTCTCTGTGATAGTGGGAATGTAGAGGTGGGGAAATGATGAAGCAGGATCCAGAAAGCTGGTAGAATAAGGGCTTCAGGTACTGGAAACCTGATACTGTGCTGTCAAGACTCACACTGCCTGCCTTTCAACTCTGCTTGCCTTTATTGAGCTTTATGCTGTTGTAGAAGGCTTTCTTTAGAGATGGCAACTGTCAGCTACAGGTTCACATCCTCCCAATTTAGTAAACACGGTATATAGAGAGGAAAACTCCTTCTCTCAACATCTGTGTATCAATTCCAGAAGAAATTCTGACTGATCCTGCTTAAATGGTAGTCATTGATTGGTAAAGCCTAAGTTGCACATCTACACCTGGGCCTAGGCAATTGGCATCTATTAACAGAACCTATCATGTACAGCACAGCCAAGTATAATAAATTAACTCAGTCCACTACAATCATGAATGATTTCTAACACCAGAAAAAAATAAAACACAATTCATAACAATATTATGTTGGGGCTGGACAAGGTGGCTCATGACTGTAACCCCAGCACATTGGGAGGCCGAGGAGGGCAGATCACTTGAGGTCAGGAGTTCAAGTCCAGCCTGGCCAACATGGTGAAACCCTGTCTCTACTAATATACAAAAGTTAGCTGGGTGTGGTGGTAGGTGCCTGTTGTCCCAGATACTCAGGAGCCTGAGGCATGAGAATCGCTTGAACCCAGGAGGCGGAGGTTGCACTGAGACAAGATCGTGCCACTGCATTCCAGCCTGGGTGACCGAGTGAGACAGTCTAAAAAAAAAAAAAAATGTTGGAATAAAAGGTATAGTTGGAAAAAGTAACAAATGAATTAGAGTCTGTTCTTGATGATACATGGTATCTGCCACCTTCCAAAATATGTCTTTTGTTTTCTTTTTTTCTCACTAAGAGGAATAAAGGCTTAATGTTGAGATTCTTTTTTGATTAGAAAGTTTGGTTAATTTAAGAATGTGTCACATATTAAATCATGCTTTTCAAAGAACTATAGAGCAATTGGAGAGATATTTTGGAATCTGAATATTGATGAAAATGGCAAAGATGCTTTGAGAGAATCCAGAGCATTATTTTGGGCAAAGGAGAGAGAAGCAAATTGATTTCAATAGTTAGGTGAGGCAATCTCTCAGAAAGATAACATAATTGAGAAAGGAAAAGTTCTGTGTGTGTGTGTGTGTGTGTGTGTGTAATGAGAAAAGCATTTCATCTAGTATTATTTCTGATTTGAGATTTCTTAATACCATTTAAATTCTGATTCATTATTGGCAGAAAATCATAAAAGATGTTCCTTTTGAAACAGTTCAGATCTAAGCATATCAGAAAGTTCTCAGATTGCAGACCAACATGGTTTAAGATTAACATAGATTTATAAAGTTGGCACAGAAAATGTGATTGATTCCCCTTTGTAAGGCTTACCTTCAGGTCTTAGATTCTACTTCCCAAAGGCGAATGGAGTCTTGTTTTAATTATTTGGGTAGTCACAGAAACACCACAATGGTTACTTCCTATCTTTACAATTTGCCAGTTTTGCAATGGCTACAGATTGCCTGAAGGTATCTTTGGGCTTTTCCTCTTTTCCCCTTCTCCTCTGATACCCACTCTTTATCCCCTCTTTTCCTGCTTTCTCCCACCCCTTTTCCTCCCAACTTTACTTTCTCCATAAGTTCATTCCCACTAATATGTTACAACTTGTTCAAACTTGAGGAAGTTAAAACCTGCAGCAAGGGGCACTAAAATAATGTGAGTGGAAACAAGCCTGCACCTATGGAAATTAAAATGGTTTCTTATTGAAACCATAACCAAGTTTGGCCTCAAGAATGTGATATTCCACACAAATCCTAATTTCGAATTGCAAATAGAAATCACTAGGTTTATTCCAAGATCTGTGAATTGGACAAATGACAATAATGATATAAACACAAAATGGAGACAAGCATAAGATAAAATAGTCAAATGCTTTCTGTTCCTGAAACATCTTGAAGCCTGGTACACACGTACTGTAGATACTCTCTGAAAGTAAGCTGATGGCCCTGCAGCTTGCTTTGTAAACAATTATTAGAAAGTTGTATTTTAGTTTCCTCAAACCTTCATGTGGTTTTCTCCGTGAACACCTTCATTAAATGCCATAGGCTTTAAATTAATGTATCTTCTTCCCATCCATTGCAAAATGCTTCTGTTTATTTTTCCAATGGCATAGCTTTCAAAATAATACAAGACTATGAAATGTTGCGTGAGGGGGAGGAGAAATGAAATAAGAAAGAGAAAGGTCATAAATTTTAAGCCATGTGGGGTTTTATTGTTATTTTTGAAGTGTGTTTAGCACAGAGACAAATTGTACGCTTACCGCAAGTCACCAGGACCTAACGAGCTCCTAATGTGTCCCATACTTCAAGGTTTTTCAGAACAGGCCAGTAACTTAGCAACCACAGCTAAACCTTGACAGGAATAATCATTATTTGTGTTGCAGCTTCAGGCTTCCCCACTGTATGTTTCCTTTTTTCTTTTTTCCTTCCTGTTGTTTTTTTAAAAGGACCCAAGAACAAGAAGGAACAGCTAAGTCTGAGAAAGGAGAATTTCCCTCCTGTTGCTTTAGGTCATAAATGGCATGACTGGAGTATAGGCATGGAGTTAAGAGTTACTTTCCCCTGAGACTCCAAGAAAAGTAATGGGGAAAGTCTAGCTGTGGTAATTTCAGGTGAATGCTAGGCAGGATATGTTTGGTACCTGCTCAAAATCAACAAATTCTTGTATTTATGAATATTTGCAGTTTTGGCAATTCACAAACCAACATGAAATTCTTTGATGTATAAAATGTTTTAATATTGCTGCGATACAAACTGTGATGTAAACTGATCAATAGTAGCAAGTTGCATGGTTAGTGAATGAACTTAGCTGACTGCCCAGAATCTCTATATTGCAGTCTACCTTAGCTGAATTTTTTTTTTTTTTTTTTTTTTTTTTTGCTTTAAGTGCTGGGATATATGTGCAGAATGTGCAGGTTTGCTACATAGGTATACATGTGCCATGGTGGTTTGCTGCACCCATCAACCCGTCATCTACGTTAGGTATTTCTCCTAATGCTATTCCTCCCCTAGCCCCCCATACCCCAACAGGCCCCGGTGTGTGATGTTCCCCTCCCTGGATCCATGTGCTCTCATTGTTCAACTCCCACTTATGAGAACATGTGGTTCACTTTAGTTTTCCACTGAAGTATTAAAAAGTCAATCACTTCATTATGAAAGAATTGTTTCCCCTTCTCCAGTGCCTGAAAAAGCAAAACCAAGCCAGGCACACTGGTGCATGCTTGTAGTCCTAGCTACTCAAGAGGCTAAGGCAAGAGGATCACTTGAGCACAGGAGTTCAAGGCCAGCCTGGGCTCAATAGCAAGACCCTATCTCTGAGGGAAAAAAAAAAAAAAAGGCAGCAAACAAACAAAAACTTCTCAGGAAGACGATGGATGAAAAGGTAAAAATATTTAAGATAGTATTAACATCCAACCAGAAAATAAAGTTTTTATTGGATAAACCACAACAAGTATGGAGATTCATAAAATATTCTTCAGGTGTTGTTCGTAAACTTCAAGAATCTACCAGTGTTTTCATGGTTTCTGTAGAACTGAAGAAGTTATGTCACCAGTAGGAAGCTTCATTATTATCAAAAAGATGATAACAATGGTGAGAAAATTTACTAAGTAGACCTATTCTAATTCCATAGGTTGATTCATGGCCCACACAAGTGCCAGTGAATAAAGCTCTTAAATCAGAAGAGAAGATATGATATTATCACAAGTCTCTATTTAACTGAATTGTCAGGCCAAGAAATTAAAAGGAATATTTCTTAGTTTGCATCTATTTTGTAAAGGTAAATAATACAATATTGTAGGAATTCAGAATCACTGAACACTAGACCTCACTCTGCTGTGTGACTATGGGTTATGGTCAACCACCATAGACAAAGGAATTTCCCTTAATTGTTGTAGGCCCAAATACTTCCTTTAGTGTTAATACTCTGTGATCTTCTTGAAAAGGCACAGTGAAGGGCAGGATAATGCAAAACACTATGAATAGTTCCGAATGAACCACTACAAAGATAAATGCCAGTTTCTTTTTTCTCTTTTTTTTCTGAAAAGAGAATGAAAAGAGAATAATTGTTTTCAGCACAAGCAGGTGCTCATGGGAACTTACTAGCTAACATATCCTAAGTTCTCTATTAATCATTTAAAAAATAGATGCTTTGTAAGTTTAATTAATAAAAATTGCTCCTGCAGATTCTTATGAGAAATAAGCTTTGGTGAATGCTAACATTTGATTTTCATATGTATATATATTTGGAGTAATCATTTTACTATCATGTAATTATATGAGAAATGGTTAATAGCTGATAAGAAATACCTTTATCTCTTTCTAGGCATAATATACATTTGTATGTGTTGAGAATAGTGGATGGAAGGTGAGCTCAAACAAGTCAGTAGAAGGCAGTGGACAGTTAGACAATAAGGCGGAGTCTAGAAGAAGCTTAGAAGTAGCTACAAGGGGAAGATATACAACTTGGATGAAGCAGGAGAAAGAAGTCGGATGCAGTGAGAAAATGTAGACCGTCTAAGACATCTGGTGAAAGGGATCTGGAACTATGCAAAACCTGGACATTAGACATTGGTATGTAGACTGATGGATCTCTGCCAGAACTGTCCTGTAATCTGGGCAAAGCTTTAGTGTATCTTCCACACCCCACTTAATTGGCTGATAACATATTTTTTATATCCTTGCAAAAATGTCCTTTCACACAACTATGCAGAGTGGTCATTGTCACTGTAATCCCTGTAAACATCTATGCACTGCCTGACTCTGCAAGTGCCATTCACATAGACCATGATTTGGCTTATGATTCCTGGAATGTGTAATATGAAGGACTAATAGACTCACTCTCTTTAGGCAAATATTACTGTCTCAGTATATAAATGGACTATTGTCACTATTTACTATGAGAAAGAGTTGGAGAGTTGGGTGTGCATATCTGATAGGGGGGATAGAGTGGGAAAACTCATAGTTTTGAAGCCATGGACAATAGACTGAGTTACTAGCTGTCTGTCAATGACAGCAAGAATGATGCTTTGCTACCACATAGAAAGGAGGAAAGTAACTAAGAGGATAGAGGAGCGTCTGATGGAAGGAAAAAGACACTGGAAACTTTAAAATGGAGTTGCGTAATGAACCTGGCATGATTGTTTCTATACTCCAAACTACAATTTGGAAACAGAATTAGTAGCAATATATGGTGCCAGTGGTGAAAGAGAGGCAGTTGGAAGGAAGTCGTAAAAGATTTGAGTTTATTTTAATATACCCAGTTTTAGCCCACAGAAATACTGTGTAGAGTTCCATAGCTAAGATAATTAATGTTCTCCAATTTGGAATATTGTGGCCTGGTAGCATAAGAAAACACAGAAAAACAGGGTATAGAATAAACTTTCATCTGTCTTCCTTTCTTTTCCTTTATCCAGGGCAAGTTCTAAAAAAATAGAAATATACTTTCTTGCTTTTTGTATTTACTGAGTAATATAACAAAAATGCCCAGAAAAAAATGCTATAAATTTCTACGAGGTGAAATAAATATATGTATCCTTGGTTCAAGAGGTTTTCTTTGGTTACCACTCCTAAATTATTGGGGGAGAAGGGGATTAATTTTAAATGTGATCCTTTAAGAATAATGTTCAAATTATATTTATTTAAGAATTTAAAAAATCTAAATGTTGTATACATGTGGTTTGTTTATGGATAGACTCTATTTTATATTAATACTTTTGATAGTCATCAGTTTTAGTGTAGGTATGTTTAAGCAAATCAAGTGGTAATTCAAAATAAGTTTAAGATAATTCTGTGTTTCCATTGACCACAAAAGAAAATTTAAAATATGTATTAAAAAACACAAAAAATGAGCACTAATTCATGGTAAAGAAGAGTTTAATATGATGACTTCACCAGGGATATTCTTTATGGTACTGTACTCGCAACACATCGCTGGGTCTTTGGAAACTTGTCATTTCTCTTTCACCATAATAACCTCAGTTGAATCAATTTACTTCAATTTTTTAAGTGTGTGTGGAGCACTTCAAGGTGAAATGGGAAGAGTACTGAACTTGGTCTCAAAATTTCTGAATTTGGTCCTGGTTCTGCTATTTACCTGCTATTTGACTTGTACTAAATAAATTTACCTCTTTGGATCACAGTTTTATAATGTGTAAAATGAGTCTAAATGAGTAATGAGGCCATTTCAGGTATAAAGACATGAATTCAAGCATAACAGTTTACTGGGATTTAAGACAACTCAAAATGATATAGAATCTGAGAGTTTCTATCACTTAGATGGCAAGATGACACAGTCTGCCCTGGCCATTTACTTATTTGCTCTTAAATTTATTACTCGCTCTTTCTCTGCCCTGTTCCCCACATACTTCCTGAGCCCCTTGCTTTCTGGCTTTCTGGAAGTTTGGCTAATGAGGGGCTGGAGGGCAGGAGGAGGAGACAAGCCAGAGTATTTCTTCATATCGCTCTCTGCTTTGGACGGTGTCCATGATGGCAGTTATAGCTCCTGTTAGACAACCTCTTTGTCAT
This sequence comes from Homo sapiens, assembly GCF_000001405.40. NCBI lineage: Eukaryota > Metazoa > Chordata > Mammalia > Primates > Hominidae > Homo > Homo sapiens. The sequence continues at coordinate 116,874,758 of NC_000003.12, forward strand.
TGGTCCAACTGCCATAGAACAGAGAGGGAGAACTTCCAGCTTCCACCAGGAGTTCCAGTTCTGGGTTCCTGTAATACCATCTCTCATCCAGCTCAAGAGTAGTAGCTATGTCTTCCTGTGTTACTTGCTAGGCAGCTTCATCATCTTCTGTTTGACTTTTCAGCTCTTCTATTTCCAGCATAATCAGTACTCTGCATTTGAAATACCAGAGTGGTTCCTATTTTCTGACCCTGAATGTTATATGATGAACAAGCCACGGCTTTGTAGAAAGGAAAATAAAAAAGACTAGTTTGAATTCCAAATTTGCCCATTAACTAGCTAAGATTGTAAGAATGAGTTATTTTACCTTTTTAACTAAAATTATTGGAATAATAATATTTACATTGCAAGATGTTTCTAAAGATTAAATGAGAAAACACATGTGAAATGGTGCTTGGCACATGTTAAGTGTCCAATAAACATATTTTGTTTCCTTTTATTTTCATGAACTACTCAGGATGAAAAAACAAGCTACTCTTACAAGAATTATAAAACTATATACAATATACAAGGATACAAGGAGATACTATGTAGAACATAATCACCTACTATAAGTATCTCACAGCTCTAACTCAAATCATAGAATCTTTTCTCTGCTATGAAACTTCCCCTATTAGTCTGCTAGGGCTGTCATAACAAATACCACAGACTGGGTGACTTTAACAATTTAAGTTTATTTCTTACAGTTCAGGAAGCTAGAAGTCCCTGATCAAGGTGCCAGCTGATTCAGTTTCTGAGGAGGGTCCTCTTTGTGGCTTGTAGATGGCCACCTTTTTGCTATGCTTTCACATGGTCTTTCTTGGGCATGTGAATGCATAGAGAGATAAAGAGAGAAAGCTCTCTGGTGTCTCTTCTTATAGGACACTAATCCTATTAGATCAGGGCCCCACCCACATGAACTCATTCAACCTTAATTACTTTCTCTAAGACCCTATCTCCAAATATAACCACACTGGGGTTAGGTATTCAAGATATGAATATGGAAAAAACACAACCCTTCAGCCTATAATACTTCCTCTGTACACATTTATGGTATAAGGGACAGAGGCATCCTTCCCTATTTAAAACAATAACTAGATCTAGTTTGTAATATTATTTTGCCAATATTCTTTAATCTAAATTTTTCACTATTTCAAATTTTCAAATTTCACAAAACCAATGTGTTCTACTTTATAAATCTTGAAGGTTCAAGTCTATATCTACTACTTTAACTTCTTTCTAGTCTCTGGACTCATTTTGTGTCAGTGCTGCATTTAAGTTTGGAAAAGCAGACATAAAATTTAATTTGGTAATAGTTCAGATAGTTACTGAGATAGAGAAATTCAGGGATAAATGAACAGACCTAAAAATCAGCCACATAAACAAAATGCTGAGGTCTGGCAAAACTTAGTGCATTTACAGCAAGTCATTCATTCATGAAAGGCTCAGGTCCATATACCAAGAAATGAAGAGATATAAAACAATCTAATTTTTTAGGTATATCGTATTATCGTGATTATTAAATTTGCAAAATACTTTCAAAATCTATTGTCTTTATAATAAAATATAAATATTGGACATTTGTGTTAACCTAACTCCTTATTTAATTTCTAATATATGAAATAGTCAGCATAACTTGGAAAATATGTTATTTTCCAAGCTCAAGTTTCCTATGAGGGTCAAAAAGAACATTGGGCAATGTTGACACAAATTATTGTTTATATTTATCCACAGACTAAAATTATTGGTCAAATTTTTAACGGATACCTAAAGAAAAACCATATTTCTTATATATGACTATCTAAGGATGATGTCAGTGGTTTCCCAGGAATGATAGGTTTCTCAGATATTTGTTTAAAGTCTCATATTGGATTTCCACAGGTAATCTTGGCAAAAACACGAGGAGCCTGGGCATTGAATCTCACTTCAAAAAGTCAGTGGGAAATAACTTTCTTATGCTGAGTAGCATTGGAAGGCTTCATAAGACTCATTAATCTGGTCTGCTTCTAATGCTGTATTCATTGCCACTATTCCATTTTCAGCAGAAAAAAAAAAACAGTGCTCACAAAGTGCATCTTACAAGATGTATCAATGCCATAGAAAGTGCTATCAACTTTGATAAAATAAATCCACTTCCACAAATCCAACCAAAGGACCTACAGATTGTGATTCATATATAAAGATGCTAATTACTCCATTATCTATAATGATAAAAAATTAGAAGTCCATAAATATCCTACAGAAGGAAAATTGTTTAATTAGTCTATATCCATTTGTCTTAGCCCATTTGGGCAGCCAGAACAAAGTACTGTAGACTGGGTGGCTTATAAATAACAGAAATTATTTCTTACAGTTCTGGATGCTGGGAATCTGAGATCTGGGTACCAGCAATGGTCAGGTTCTGGTAAGGGCCCTCTTCCTTGGTTGCAAACTGCCATCTTCTCTTTCTATCCTCAAATGGCAGAAGCGTTGAAGGACCTCTGTAGGCCCTTTTTAAAGGCACTGATAACATTCATGAGAACTTCACAATTATGACCTAATTTCCTCCCAACTGCCCAACCTCCTAATATCATCACATTGGGAGCTGGGATTTCAACATGTAAATTTTGAGGGACATAAACATGCAGTCCATTGCACTATTCAATGGCAATTAAATCTATATTTAAAATAAAAATGGGGTGATTACAATTATATTTTATAAAGACAACAGAGGAGCAGATGTTCTCACTTTTTTATAAGAAGCATCTACTTTTCTTTCATTTTCTCTCATTTTATGATCTTTTCAACTATGGCTACGAGATTACACTGATGCAATTTACTGATACCATGAAACAACAGCTTCATATCTATTCCTATTTGCCATGTGATGATTGCATGCCTCATAAGGAAATGGATAGAAACATCCTTCCCTGTAGACTGTAAATAAGCATCAACATACTTCCAGTCTGTCCTTCTTCCAGTGCTCCTATTTTCCTCACAAATGCTGAGGTGGCACCTACACTTTTAGATTGTGATGTTTAAAAAAGGTTAAAACTGGCTGGGCGTGGTGGCTCATGCCTGTAATCCCAGCACTTTGGAAGGCCCAGGCAGGTGGATCACCTGAGGTTAGGAGGTCAAGATCAGCCTGGCCACATGGCAAAACCAAAACCCCGTCTCTACTAAAAATACAAAAAATTAGCTGGGCATGGTGGCGGGCACCTGTACTCCCAGCTAGTTGGGAGGCTGAGGCAGGAGAATCGCTTGAATCTGGGAGGCAGAAGTTGCAGTGAGCTGAGATTGCACCATTGCACTTCAGCCTGGGTGGCGGTACAAAACTCTTGTCTCAAAAAAGAAAAACTGGTTAAAAACCTTTGCTTAACTTAGGCTTCTTGTTCTCACGACTCTGAGATCAGAAAGTGCCTTCTTCAGATTAGGACTCATGGTTCACTACAACAAAAGCCAGGGTGTAGAAAGTGGTTAAGTACATGAAACCCAGGTTCAGATGGTGTGGTTTGGCTCTCAACTCTGTCATCTATTTACCAGGAAAGACATTTAACCTCTCTCTGCTCAGTTTCATATTCTGTAAACTGGGTTTACTTGATGATTAAATGAATATATATGTCACTTAGAGCAGTATCTGGCATATAACACTTAATAAGTGTTTACCATTATATCAGGGAACCTACCCCCAGTAGTCACGTAGGTTCTTTTCTATTTTCCCTAAGCGTCAGCTGGGTTGAGAAATAAAGGGACAGAGTACAAAAGAGAGAAATTTTGAAGCCGGGCGTCCTGGGGAGACATCACATGTTGGTAGGTTCCGTGATGACCCACAAGCTGCAAAACCAGCAAGTTTTTATTAGTGATTTTCAAAGCGGAGGGAGTGTACGAACAGGCTGTGGGTCACAGAGATCGTGTGCTTCACAAGGTAATAGAATATCACAAGGCAAATGGAGGCAGGGTGAGATCACAGGACCACAGGACTGGGGCAAAATTAAAATTGCTAATGAAGTTTCAGACACCATTGTCATTGATAACATCTTATCAAGAGACAGGGTTTGAGAGCAACTGGTCTGACCAAAATTTATTAGGCAGGAATTTCCTTGTCCTAATAAGCCCGGGAGCACTATGGGAGACTGGGGCTATTTCATCCCTACAGTTTTGACCATAGAAGACAGCCACACCCAAGGGGGCCATTTTAGAGGCCTACCCTCAGGGGTGCATTCTCTTTCTCAGGGATGTTCCTTGCTGAGAAAAAGAATTCAGCGATATTTCTCCCATTTGCTTTTGAAAGAAGAGAAATATGGCTCTGTTCCGCCTGGCTCACTGGCGGTCAGAGTTTAAGGTTTTCTCTCTTGTTCCCTGAACATTGCTGTTATCCTGTTCTTTTTTCAAGGTGCCCAGATTTCATATTTTTCAAACACACATGCTCTACAATTTGTGCAGTTAACGCAATCATCACAGGGTCCTGAGGCAACATACATCCTCCTTAGCTTATGAGATGACAGGATTAAGAGATTAAAGTAAAGACAGGCATAGGAAATCACAAGGGTATTGACTGGGGAAGTGATAAGTGTCCATGAAATCTTCACAATTTATGTTTAGAGACTGCAGTAAAGACAGGCATAAGAAATTATAAAAGTATTAATTTGGGGAACTAATAAATGCCCACGAAATCTTCACAATTTATGTTCTTCCACCATGGCTTCAGCCGGTCCCTCTGTTTGGGGTCCCTGACTTCTCACAACACCATTACTATTATTGTTATATGAAAGAGTGTCAGATCCTGTATTTACAGGTATTGAGTAATATTGTGGTAGTGTTTTGTGTATTGAGGATTAATATTTTATTGCACTTTTGATAAGAAAAACAATGATTAATGAGTCAAGGAATATGATTTCATGAGTAGAAGAGAATTTAGAAGATACTTAACACAACCACTATTTTTGAAAAGGTGTTCAGAGATTTCAACTTGAACAAGCTATACAGTCAGTTTTTAGCCATAACAATCAGGAATCCAGGCATCTCATGACTTCCTTCTTCCCCAAGGAGACACTAGACCCCCGTGATGGCAATACAGCCCCTGAAAAGGCTCTAAATTGCACTGAAGAGGAAGAGTAGGGAAACATTATGTGTTTTCCTAGTAGATGAGGCAAAACTGGGAAAAGATTCTTAGCCTATCACTCCAAAATTTGAGGTAAATGACACAATCTCCCTTTTAATTTAAAACTGTTGTCAGCTTCAACAAATAGAGCTGCTAGTCTAAGTGCAATGGACACCTGTTTCTCTTTGAGAAAATATTTTAAACATCAGATGTAAATTAAAATGTTTCACATATTTCAAATATGATGTAATTCATAAACTGTTTACATGTTGCAATAAAGTACAATCTTAGCTTTGCATTTTTGATTTGTTATTTAACAAACATCTCTGAGTAAATCTGGCTCAGAGGTATAGCTCTACTCTTATTCTCTATCCCTACCCTTGGCTTTAGGCTGGAATGAACTGAGTTTTCGCTTTGTGTCTGGTCATCAGAATTCTTTTCTAGCAGTGTATAGACAGTAATTCATACAATATGAGGGTCTGATGTTTTAGTGTGAAATCAAAATTCTAAAACTTAAATCATAAGGACACTGTGTGTTTGATTATTCTTAATGTTTGTGAAGCCCTGAAATCGTTTAGGGAATTTTATTATGCATTTCAAACTGCATGTTTAATATTTCCACCCATGAAATTGTAATAGAAAGTTTATTCCCAAACTTACAAATGAAACTCAAGAAGGTTCAGGGAAGGCGGCACTCTGGAGGATGGTATTTGAATTCAAATGACATTGTTAAATTGGAAAGGTAATCAGAAATCAACAAAATGAAACTTTCCAGGGACCAATGGAAGTCATTTTGAGTAAAAAAAGAAAAAAAAAAGTGGCACAACTGCAGATATGGGAATTCTACAGAAAAATGCCCTGTACTCCATTCAGCAGATCACAATATAAGTATAAAAAGAGCAAATACTAATTAGGCCTACTTTTTTCTACTTTTTATTTTATTTCATTCCTTAAATATACTATTAGAATGCAGGAATCATTGCCTATCAGGCTAACTTGGTTCTCTTTTTCTTTCACCTCTTTTCTTCCTTACCCTCCAGGTCCTCCTTCTTCTACCTTTGTTTTCTTCAACATTTTTAGGTCTTTATGTTGCCTATGGTGGTCACTTCATTGGCTCTGATTCTCGTAGCAAAAGTGATAAAGGATGAGAGTCACCTTGAAATACAGCTAGAAATCAACTGGGAGTAACTCTATCTCAAGTGTGAGAATTGTTACGGTTCTCAGATCCTCGAGTGGGTACAAGCTGAGCATATTTTAGCGTGGTTCTCTAGGTAGGTACTAACGTCCCTTTCTCCACAAGATTCACAGAGGCCCCAGGAATGTTCAAAAAGAGAGGTATATTAATCAGCTTCTGGTAATAAAGATACAGCCAGGTTTATCTGTGGCCCTGAAAAGACCCAGGGTTGCCTAGATAACAATACAAGAGATAAGAATTAAAATTATAGGCTAGGATAGAAGTATATTTCGCTTTACAAGAAACAGCCAAACAGTTCTCAAAAATGGTTGTGCCATTTTTCACTCTCCCAGCACATATAAGATTAAAGTTACTACACATCCTCAACATCATTTTATGTTGTCTTTTTTTTTCCTTAATCATAATTGTTCTAGTAGGTGTGAAATGGTGTCTCACAGCTTTTTCCATTTAGATTCTTCATTGGGTTTTCAACTTGTATTTTCAGGATGACTAATGATGTTAAGCACCCCTTCATATGTTTACTGGCTGGTCATATAACTTCCTTTGTAAATTGTCAGTTCAATACTTTTGCTCATTTTTAATTAGATTGTTTATCTGTTTATTATTGATTTTTAGAAGTTCTTTCTATATTCTTGATACAATTTAATTGTCAGATATGCATTTTGAATATGGCTTGCCTATTTATTTTCTTATGTCTTTTGACAAGCAGATGTTTTTAATTTCTACAATCTCCAATTTATTAGGTTTATTAGATTTTTATTTCCTAATGTGGTTAGTCTTTTAAGAGTTCAATCTAAGATATCTTCATCTTCCACAAGATAACAAATTTATTCTCTTGTATTTTCTTCATGAGCCTTATAGTTCTAGGTTTCATGTTTAAATGTGTGATCATTTTAATTTTAAAGTATGAAATAAGATAGAAATGAAAATCATTTTTCCCTATGTGTATATACAACTGTTCCAGAATCTTTTGTTAAAAACAATAAAAACAAATCTTTCTCCCATTTAAAAAAATGCAATGGCTTTGTCAAAAATTACTTGATGGGAGTCAATATTAATATGATGGTTCTTCCCATACTGGTACATTGATTCAACATAATCGCAGTCACAATTCTAGCAGGAATTTTTAGTAAAAATTGGCAAGTTGATTTTGAAATCTATATGGAAATGCAAGGGATCAAGAATAACCAAAGCAGTTTTAAAAAGGAAGAACAAAGATTTACTCTTCTTGATTCCAAGACTTACTAGAAAACCACAGTAATCAAAATAGTTTGGGTGTTTCATACAAGACAGAGATAGATCAAAAGAACATAGAAGAGAGTCCAGAAATAGGCAAAACATCTATAAATTGATTTCTGACAAAGATGTTAAAGTAGTTTAATAAGAAAAGGAAAGACTTTTCAACAGATGATTAAATATATGGAAAATGTGAACATCTACCCTTACCTTATACCATACACAAAAATTCATTTAAATTGGATTACAGTTCTCAGTGTAAAATTGAGAACTATAAAACTCCTAGGAGAAACTCCTAGGATTGTGTGGTAAGCAAATTTCCTTAAAATACAATATTATGAGTCATGTAAGAAAAAAACTGATAAATTAGACTTCTTCAAAATTAAAAGCTACTGCTCTCCAAAGACACCATTAAGTTAATAAGGCAAACACAGACTGCTAGAATATATTCACAATACATATATCAAAGAACTTGTATGCAGAATATATAATTTTTAGAATTTAATTATAAGAAGGCAAACAACCCAATAAGAAGTTGGATAAAATATTTAATAATATATAAATGACCAATATGCACATAAAATTAGCCATCGGGGAAATGAAAATTTAAAACAAGAATATACAACTGTATGCCTATTAGGATGACTACAATTAAAAACAACCACCACCATCCAAACTCCTGGTCATTCTAAGTATTGGCAGAGGTGTGAACCAACAGCAACTCTCATATGATTTTAATAAGACTGCTGCAACCATTTTGGAAAAAAATTTGGAAATTTTTGATAAAAGTTTGTTAGTGTCATAAAAACTTCAAAATGTGCCTACCTTATAACCCTAGTCATTTTACAACTAGGTATTTACCGAACAGATAAGAAATTGAATGTCCATACAAATGCTTTTTTATAAATATTCATTGCAGCTTTATTCATAATAGCCAAAAACTGGAAAAATAACCCACATATATTTATCAACAGGCAAATAGATAAGCAAATGGTGGTTCACCATACAATGGAACACTACTCATAAATAAAAAGAAATGACTTACTAAAACACATAACGACATGGACCATTCTCAAATTCATTATGCTAAGTGAAAGAGGCAAGGCAAATTTGTAATTCCATTTATATAAAACTCTAGAAATTGCAAACTAATTCATACTGTCAGGAAGCATAACAGTGGTTCTTAGGGATGAGGTGTTGAGGTATAACTGGATTAAGATTGTTACAGAATTCTTTTGGGAAGTAATGGATATGTTTATCTTGATTGTAGTTACGGTTTCAAACTGATCAAATTATATACTTTAAGTATGTGAATTTTAGTATAATTTAGTTATACCTTAATAAAGGTGAAAGATCGATTCTCTGTAGGTCTAGAAGCTTCATTCTTAAGGATGTACCCAAGAAAAATTAAAACATATGTCCATGTAATACATTTGTAAAAGAATGTTCATAGCAACCTTCCTCATTACGGTCAAGAGCCAGAAGTAATCTAAATATCCATCAACTGGAGAATTTATAAACAAATTGTGGTATGTTCATAAAATGGAATAATATTCAGCAATAGGAAAGAATGAGCTGCTGATACACACGGCAACACGGATGACTCTGCAATATGTTGTGTTAAGCAAAAGTAACCAGATATCTACCTCCCACTGCTAAAAAATAAAAAATAAAACCCATACTGTATGATTTAATTCATATAAAGTCCAAAAAGAGGAAAAGCTAATCTATGAAGATACAAATCATAAATCTGAAAGTTATTACCTCTTGGAGAAGAGTGGAATTGACTAAAAAGCACCAGAAAACTCTCTGTGGTGATGTAAATGCTCTATATCATGTTTCAGATGAAAGCTACATGTGTACCTGTAACTCTTAACATTTGTCAAGCTGCACACTTTAGAACTGTGAACTTTATTACATATAAGGAAAGAAGAAAGCCAACCCAAACAAAGGCTTCTCTGTAGAGCCTTTTTGGGTCCTCAGCCAGAGGCAGCATCTAAAATAGACAGACAGAAAGACAAAGAGATAAATAGACCACTATTCTGTCTATACTGCACAGTTCAACTGGCTTTTTTAAATTCCATAAATGAGAGTTTAAAATAGTTCAGTGCAATTCAGGGTAGCCAAATAGTTGATTGGGACTATTTTTATGAAAGAATTCTAGGTGGAAAATGGAATAATGTAATTTAAAATTACTATTTTATAACCCCTAACGAAATAATATTTATAGGCAATACTTTATCAGTGGATACTAAGATCACTAGGTAAAATATATATATTTTTCGAGTCTGTGGGGCTTGCGTTTTATTTCTTCATGACAAAATGCGGCTTCCTGCTTCTAAGAAAAGAAGCACAGAGAGGCTCATAAAGGCAGCCTCCAAAGGCTTCTTGGAACTCAGATTGCTCCTTCAAAACATGGGCTGATGAGTTCAACGTAAATGCATTGGAGGCACGTGGGATCCATTTACCTTAAAATACACTTGGGCCTACAAATTAAAGGAAAAACAGACCAGGACAAAGTGTGTACTGCAAGGCCAAGCCCAAAACATTTGGGAAACAGTTCTAGAGACTTCCAGAACCCCAAAAGCTACTTGCTTCACCCACCCCTTGGGAATCATCAAATGTTATTTTTTGCACAAGATTGAGGATGAGCCTGCTCTCTGATCCCAGTGCTGTGCTCCGCTGTGCAGTATTTTTTTCTTCTAAATAAAAAATAGGATACACGTGCAGAATGTGCCAGTTTGTTATGTAGGTAGACGTGTGCCATGGTGGTTTGCTGCACCTATTGACCCATCCTCTAAGTTCCCTCCTCTCACCCCGACCCCGCAACAGGCCCTGGTATGTGCTGTTCCCCGCTCTGTGTCCATGTGTTCTCAATGTTCAGCTCCCACTTATGAGTGAGAACATTCAGTGATTACTAGGTAGAATGTTAATGGGAAAGTTTGTAACAGATGAGGCCAGGCTGACAGCGCCTGAATCCATCCATCAATCTTAGCATCAGTAAAAGTCGGATGAGCAGATATTTGGTGCCTGTCTTCGAACATGTGTTGTAGATGTAACAACTATTGGCTATAAAATATTCTTGAAAAAAATATTGATTCTGAATCTAATCAAGCTCCAACTAGGAGAAATCTGTCGACTAAAGGAACAATTTAAACAACAGCAAAAAGAAACAATCAGACAAATCCAGAATATGGGATGTTTCACAAGACAAATGGCCCAATTTCACAACAAATATAAAGGTTAGAGGAGGAAGGCCATAATATAATGAGACTAAAGAGAGATTACAACCAAATTCAATGTTGGTTGGTTTTTCAGATCCTGATCTGAACAAATCAACTACAAAAAGTCAGACCTAAAATAATTAGGGAATTTGAATGAAGTGTGGGTATTAAATGATATGAAAAAATGTCTAATTTTGTAATATGTTAAAATGACTTTGTAGTAATATTTTTTAAAGTATGCCCTATCTGTTAATGACCTATACTAAAGTATTTATGGGTGAAATAATGTGATAACTGGGATTTGCTTTACAATATTCCAAAGAAATTGGAGGAGTGAGGGTTAGGTGAAAAAACATAGGAAAAACTTTGACAATTGTCAAAGTTGGTGATGGGTACGTAAAAGTTCATTACACCATTTTTAATAGTATTATGTATGTTTTAAAATTTTCATAATTGAAGCCTTAACTGACTACTAAAATTCCACATTTGATTTTTCTTTGTTGTCCTAATTTTTAAGTTAGCATTTAATTATATTTATGAATCTTAACTCCATCTCCTTTTCTGATGTTGTGAAATGCATTTATTTTCACCTCTTACAACATTTTATGACGACTAAGCCTGTGTTAGAACATATTTACGTCTTCAGAGACATACTAATGTCCTCAGAGTCCACTTTCTCATTCTTAAAACCCTCTTCATTGGCCTTCATTATTTCATTTACTCTGAAAGAAAAAGCACGAAATACATGCAAAACTCAGTCTTCTGTCTGAATACTTCTTGTTTGCAAAGCCAGAGTATGTTCACATGTTTGCCTGCTATGGGCTGCTGACCACTGCTTAGTGTCAGTGGCCTAATGAGGACCCAGCACACCCAGGAAGTCAAATGAAACAATGTGCTGGAATAAATTCTCAAACTCAAATCATATTTGAGCTTCTCTTCCTCTTTCAGTACTACAGGAAATAACTTTTTAAATGACAGAGGTAAAATGCACTACTTTTATTTTGTGCATCAAATCCTGGTACAAATACATTATTCTCCACTTGCTGTCTGTACTTCAGACACAATAAATATATCGCTGTTTCCTGAACCTCCCAAACTCATTCTCACATTAGGACTTTTGCACTGGTCTCTTCACATACCTTCAGGCTCAGCTCAAATACCATCTCCTGTGAGAGACCTTTCTGACCACCCGAACTAAAATAACTCTCGTCTCTCCACCACTTTCTTTCACAGTTAGCCTATTTGTCATTTTCTAAGCACTTTTATTTTCACTTCCTTTTAATCTATATTTATATGTACCACCATCCTCAACTAGAATACAAGTGCAGTAAATTCAGAGATCTTGTCTAATTTATTGTTATATCCACAGTGATTCAAATAACAATTGATATAGATTAGGAATTCAATAGATATTTATGGCTTGAATAATTTTTTATGTTGATAGAAATGTATTATGTTATGACTTCATATTATAATTCAATAGCAACACCACTACAAATGATACTATTACCAGATTATTTTTCAAAACATTCTGTATTGACATACATGACTGAAATTTGAGATGACAGTGTGATAGAGACAATCAGGATTCCAAAATTGAGCAAGAATGGTAATATACATATAATATTAATAATACTAATATACTATATTCCTATGTGAATTATTAACACTCTTTGGATCAACACCTTATTGTTATAATATACACAGGAGCTCTAAGAGGAAGAAGCTGAACAAAGGTATTAAATAATTTCAACAAAACCATTTAGCATTTCTATGACAACATTCAAGCCTCCTAACCAAAACTCAATTGCTCATTAATTAATTCAATAAATATTTGCTGAGAATTTATTTTGTGTCAAACATAATGCTGAGCACTCTTATGAGCAGGTCAGACAAGAACCCTACCTTTGTAAGATATTTTTAAAGTCATATTCTGCTTCTATCTACCTCTAAATTTACAGATGAAAAAAACACCAATGCTTGTGAAGTTTTTCTACACAAAAACATCCTATAGCTACTCAGGATAATAGCCTAAGGCATCCAAGCTGTATCTTTTCAAGCCAACCATTAGATGCTAATATTAGCAATGGCACTATTGATCAGTCACATGCAATTTTCTACACAATGGACATTTACTTACAACTTCTGAATTAAATAATTGTGTAAAAATATGATATCCTATTTCTGCTTCATTTGCTTCCCTTCTTGATCTTTCTTTAGAGAAACAGTTTTCAAATATGTGGCTTAAATTCTCTTGGAGGTGAAAAATAATAATTTTATTTCTTCTTTTAAAACAAATTTTAGGTTAAAAAATATATAGTTTCAAGTTGTAAATGTGCATGCTAAGAAGAGAAGTAGGCCAATTCTCCCAGAAGCTCGTATGTGTCCTGGTTCTAGTGACCAACTCAGCTGTGATTTGACATTCCAGGGAATTGGGATATATTTTTCACCAGAGAAATCCCAGACTGCCGGACAAAACCTAAAGCGTTTGCCCTTTTCAGCCTTACTTCTTTCATTATTTAAAACGAAAAGAGAAAAAGAAAAATGAGAGAGCAAGCAGAACTATATAAAAATTTGCTTATCAGACTCCGTCTTCAGCAGTATCTTAAACCTTTTTGAAATGTGAGCACAGAATTGTTACCTTTGGGGTGAGATTGGGCCAAATTGAAAGGCCAACTCATATTTCAGAGAGTTATGGGCCTCTGGTAGAAGACTGGAACCCCAAACCCTAGATATATATATATGCATATGCGTGTATGTGTGTACGTGTGTATATGTTACTGCTGTTGGTGGGAGAAGAGTACATTTTAACAGTTCTATAGCTTATTCTGTTCCTAAGGGAAAAAAAAACAACAAATTATACTCCTCCTGAAAAAAACTATGATACAACAAAATTAGTAATATGAAACTTTAAGAAATAAAAAATCTCACATATTACATCTGGCAGATTTTGTGATTCTGGGAAGATACAATAATGCTAAGTAGACTAAATCCAGTTGAAATGCCACCTCTCTCTCTCTTTTCTCTCTCTCTCACACATACACATATAATATAAAATATAATATACATTATATATACAGTCACGCATCACTTAAGGACAGAAATATGTTCTAAGAAATGTTTCATTAGGCAATTTCACGAGGTGAACATCGCAGAGTGTACGTCACAAACCTAGATGCTATAGCCTACTACACACCTAGGCTGTAAACCTAGACAGCATGTTACTGTACTGATATTGGAGGCCATTGTAACACAATGTTAAGTATTTGTGTATCAAAACATAGCTAAACATAGAAAGGTACCGTAAAAAGATGGTATTATAATCTTATGGACCATTGTCATATATTTGTTCTGTCATTGACTGAAATGTTGCTGTGTAGAGGATGATGGTATTATATATTTTGTATGTTACATATTATGTATTATATGTAATATATAGACTTAATATTTGTATTCTATAATTATATTTATTTACATATAATATTTTATTTGTTATAGATCTAGAGATAGAGAGACATAGAAATTGAGATAGAGATATGAGAGTAAAACAAACATTTGAAGTACTATCTGGTGAATTATCTGAATTTTCTTTTCCTTGACAGTGAGACTAAACATCAGTTGTTACCTGGAATATTTATATTTATTTAGATGCATCATGGGAAGAGGCAAAAAATCAATATATTAAAAATTACAATAATAATATTTTAAAAATATACTAAACCATATTTACTAAAATATTGAGTTCTAGTTTATTGCCCAAATGGAAAGAAAGGTAATTAGTTCTTCTTTTAGTGGTGGAGATCATTTTTCCATTAAGCATCCTCTGTACCAAGTGACTTGGAGGAATGTACATAACCGATCAACCAGACACACAGCACCTCTTTTTGAACAATAATGGCAATACTCAATCCTGTAGTTTAACTTGCTTTTTCTTTTGTTGAATACTCTGCTGCAAATTCATGAGGCCTATCTAGCCTTGAAGTAAGAATTGCTATTTTCTCACACAGCTTACCATCAAAACATCCAGAAGAAAGAGGAGAAGAATGAAGAATGAAGAGAAGTGGGTCGGGGAAAGAGGAAGAGGAGGAAAAAAGAAAAAAAGCTGAAGAAGATGAAGAAGAGAGCATTGTACAAAAATTATTTGTAAAAATTGTCTGCTCTCACTAAATTGAAATCTTTATTCTCTTTTCCTTCCGTTCCTAATTCCTTGCACTTCCCCGTCATTTTACCTGAGATTGTGTCATTTACTACTCAGGTAACATTCAATTTTTCATCTCTGCCTGTCAAATAATCTTGTCTCTCAGATATCTGAATCTGAGCAAATCACTCCCATAGTCTCACCCTATGCTCTCTCAATATCTGCATCCACTCTCACTGAACGTCGACACTCTACTTCAAAGTCATACATTTCACTGTCTTGCTTCAATAATATGCTCCTATTTTTATCTATCTCCTCTATTCTTCCTTAGCCTCATTAGATCTGTCATTTGATCTCATTGAGACCTCTAGTCCCTTGACATTGCAACTTTCTATCAGCTTTCTCCCAATGTCAATTCCTTTCACCACCTTCCTGGATCCGTTTCTGCACCCTTTATATTCCATGCCCCCACTTTACTTGCTTCTCAGCTTATATCTTCATATAAATTCCCATATTTGTACCAATTCTACAAGTACATTTTCTTTTTCTTTTCTTTTCTTTCTTTTTCTTTTTTTAAGACGAATTCTCACTCTGTCACCCAGGCTGGAGTGCAGTGGCAAGATCTCGGCTCACTGCAACCTCCGCCTCCTGGGTTCAAGTGATTCTCCTGTCTCAGCCTCCTTAGTAGCTGGGATTACAGGTGCCCACCACCATGCCTGGCTAATTTTTTGTATTTTTAGTAGAGACAGGATTTCACCATGTTGGCCAGGCTGGTCTTGAACTCCTGACCTCAGATGATCCACCCGCCTTGGCCTCCCATAGTACTGGGATTACAGGCATGAGCCACTGCACTCCGCTAATTCTACAAATACATTCTCTATTTCCACACCAGGATTGCTAAGGCCTGCAAAAGAAAATTACATAGCTGTATAGACATGTGCCACTATATGTTTCGGTTTGAAGTAGAAGCAATATCTTCATTGTCAATCCCTAATTATACTATATAACCCTGGTTGACATCTTAGTACATTTTCTAGGGTGTTTTTCTCCAAATTTTCATAGACTTTATCTATGAAAATCCAACTCCTACTTTTTTCAGTTCCAGCAAATAATCTACAAAAACAAATAAAATTGAGGTAACATTAGACAAAAGTTTCTTCCACTCATCTCATTTACATGTAAAATTGAGGTCTAGTTTTTGAGGAAAATGATTTGGCCCAGAGGTAAGGGAGACAGGAAGAGAGAGTCTATACAATGACCAGATCTTCTGCTTTTGGGAACACTGAAGTATAAGTTAAGCTGTTTTGAATTACCAATGGGCTCACAAGATACCTACTACTGTCACTGTCTCTGTTATTATTACTGTTAACTACTACTACCACTAGTGCTGATGCAATGGCACAACCTGTTTTCATATATGCTCTCCTAAATTGTGAAGGAATTGCATGTGAAAAGCCTCTTATTCGTTTTATTATCAGAAGATTTAGGAAAATGCAAGGTGAAGAAAAGTTCCGCATATACAGCGCTGAATTTAAACAGTAATAATAACTAGGATTTGTAAATGACAGTTCTTCTTTAATGTAAGTAAAGCATCATCTCAAAAATTTGGTTTTTACATTTTAATTACAAAAGCCATCTGTTTAATACTATATCTTTCAATATCCATCACTGTAGTAAGTAAGAAACAAGTAACCTAATTAGTTTCAATTATTGATAAGGGAAAATGCATATTTATTCTCAATTTTATTTTAGTTAAAAAATTTATTTTTTTGGAGGATATGTTTAAAGTCATTTATCTTCTCCATTGCTGAGGTGTTCTGAAAATTTTGTGTCTGACTGGAACCTCAGAGAGAGGGTGTGGGTGTAAATAATGGTATTTACCCCAGATACTTTCGTAAATAAAGTAAGATAAAGGAACAGTGTTCCATTTGGACTCAGACACCAATTGTAGATGACTTAGTTTAATAGAAAAAAAATTTAAAACTAAAAACCAAACAAAGGGAAGTTGGCCCACTTAGATAAGTAGGCAGACAAGAAGCTGGCCTACCATGGGCCCACAGACTAATTTGACTGTCAAAAAAATTCTAAAGGAAAGTGTGGGTGCCTCAATGGAAGTAGTATGGTAGTATCTAGAATAAGGCCATCAATAGCCCCACTTTATTCTGAACTGGTAACACCATGACTATGCATAATGCCAAGTAGTTAAAAGCATGAGAATTGGAACAACACAATCCTGTATCAGAATCTCAGCCCTGCCAATTCTTGGCTCTGTGATGTGATGTGTTTTAAAATCCCTATGTCTCAGTTTCTTCAGTATCTGTAACATGGGTATAAAATGTGTATATTACAGTAAAGCACTTAGCATTACACATGGATTGCAATTAATAAGTGCTGTTATTATAATGCATGATTTTTAAGAGGCTAATCAGAAAACTGATGTGAAATTAGAGTGGGAAAGATATTTGAAAAAAATGTCAGATAAAGCAGGATTGAAAGACATGGTATCTTAGTCCATTCGGCTACTATACAAAGTACCATAGACTGGGTAGCTTATAAACAACAGAAATTTATTTCTCATAATTCTGAAGGCTGGCAAGTCCAAGATGAAGGTGCCAGCAGATTCAGTGTCTGATGAGGCCTGCTTTCCCATAGAGGGAAATCTCTTTACTGTAATTTCACATGGCAGAAGGAGCGAGGCATCTCTATGAAGTTGTCTTTATAAGGGCACTAGTTCCCTTCACGAGAGCTCTGAACTTATGAACTAATCACCAGCTAAAGACTCCATATCTTAATACCATCACCTTAGAGATTAGAATTTTAATATATAAATTTTAAGGGGACATAAACATTCAGTCCATTGTGTTTTACCCTATCCCTTAAAATGCATGTCATTCTCATATACAAAATAGCTTCATTCCATTTCAAAAGGCCCCAAAAGTCTTAACTATTCTAGCATCAACTCAAAAGTCTAAAGTCTCATCTAAATGTCATCTAAATCAAATATGCATGAGACTTAAGGTATAATTCATCCTGAGGCCAATTCTCCTCCGGCTGTGAGTCTGTAAAATCAAATGAGTTATCTGCTTCCAAAATACAACGTTGGGACAGGCATTGGATAGACATTCCCATTCCAAAAGGGAGAAATAGAAAAGAAGAAAGGAGTGACAGGTCCTGAACATGTCCAATACCCAAATAGGGCAAACAACATTAAACCTTAAGGCTTGAAAATAACCTTCTTTAACTGAATGCTTTGTCCTCTAGACCCACTGGATCCACTGGGGCTGCAGTACTGCCTTCCAGAACCACTGGGTGGAAGTTCCACCTTGTGGACACACGGAGGTGGAGATCCCACCGCTGCAGCTTTGCTGGGCAGGTGTTCTGCCTGCAAGGCTCTAGGTGGCCCTGCTTCCATGGCTTTGGGCGGTGCTGACCCCAAGGTTTTGCTGGGCATAGCCCACACTGCAGCATTCATGGTTAAACTTGTGTGCCTGCAGCTCTAATGGGCTGGTATTATGTGCTGGTGGTTCTACCAGTCTGTAGTCTCGGGGGCTACACTGCCCTTACAGCTCCGTTGGGCACTGTCCTATTGGGAGCACTCTATGGTGATCCTATGTCCCTGGGGATTCTCTGCCTGGGTTGCACATTTATATTTCTACCAACATTTTGTTCAGAATTACTTAGATCTTCTCTAAGAAAACTGATACTTTCTCTACAGCATCTCTCTTTTCTTTCTTCACCCTCAGTGGAATCCCCTTCATGGTTCATTCTTGACAATTGCAGGCTTTTTCTACCATGCACCTCAAAACTCTATCAGACTGTACACATTACCCAGTGCCAAAGCCGTCTCCACATTTTTAGGTATTTGTTACAGTAGCAACCCTACTTTTTAGTGCCAAGTTTCTGTCTTAGTCCATTTGGGCTGCTGTAACAAAACACAATCAACTATGTGTCTTATACACAACAGAATTTCTTAAAGTTCCAGAGGCTGGGAAGTCCAAGATTGAAGCACTGGCAGATACGGTGACATCTAACCTTACAGGTGAGGAGGTTCATGAGAGACAGCAGTGAAACCTTCAAACATATGAGAGGCTGCCATAAGGAAGTACATTTTAATTTGTAATGTCTGCTGCCAAAGACCAGAAACAACATGACATAGGCATCTGAGGGCAGAATTTTTTTTTTTTAAACATACTGATATTAACAGATACCTGCTATGTGAATAGGGACACATTATGTAACATCTCTGACTATCACTGACTTTTTTTTTTAAATGAGGGCTACTGCACAGATGAAATGAAGTTGAATATGTAAATAACTAATAAGTCAAAACTAGAGGACGATGAACCCCACTCCACAGAGATATTCCAGTGTAGGCTCTGTGACCACTGAACAAAAACACTGCAGAGGGAATTTGATCCTTGGTTCCAACTGACCCCTCAAAACCAGGAGATATTAGCATTATAAAATAAGTGACCCAATTCTCACTTTCTAGCCCTGCCTAAAGTGCCTGTAACAGGATCTACCTCCTGAAAAGTATTTCAATTTTTCCCTTTATTCCTTATATAGAGCTCATTAATAAACTCTGAAACCAGAAAAAGATCAAACAAACAAAATTTTCTTACAGTGGCCTTTCTGAAAGGAAGATGAACATGAATTATACCATGCACATCGATAAAAGAATCAGTGAAATGCCATTAATAAATCAAGTTTTCAATCAAAGACAAATAAAATCTGAAATACTGCAGCCATGCCCTGGGGTACATGTCTTGTTATAATGAATTCATTTCAAGCCTCTTTAATATGAGATCATTCTTTTAACAAGGTTCTTTTGGTATATTTTATAAGGAACTGAGTTCAACCTTATAAATAATTTAATTTAGTAATATGCCTCTGTATAACAAGTTCCATTCATGAAGTCCCTGAATCTAAATTTTACGCTCACCTGAAAATCTCGAAGAATCAAACGTTAATGATTCCAGAGGCTTTAATTAGCTTAAAAACAGCTAGTTGTCAAAGAAATGGAAATTTAAGTAATCCTGAAACACTATATAGCATTTAATGAAGTATTCTTTTTTTCTGTCACAACTTCCACAGTTGCCAATGTTGTGGTGAAAATGTACACTAACTTATTAATCTCTGCATTATATATCGGTAATTCATGCATAAAGCAAAAGAAAAATATGTAGCAAAAAAGCCTGAGGACAGTCATATCTTTTGACTCGGTGTGTTCACTCCTAGTATTTATTTTAAGAAATAATTCAGCAGAAATCTAAAAATTATTATTGCAGTATTATCAATAATATTGCAAAAAACTCCAACAATAGGAAACAATATATAAGCATTTTGCTTTACTGAATAGTTTAATAAATTATAACATGTTAATACAACAAAATGTTACATAGACAATAAACTAATCAATATTTAGATAAATGGCAAAATATTTATTAGGTAAAAATTACAGAATAGATATTAATATTCACCCCATTGTGTATATAAATTATGCATTTGTATAAAATATAAAGGGAAATTTTAAAAAATAATCAATTTATTAAATTTTCATAACTTACCCATTAATTGTCATTTTAATAAAAAGTAATAAAAGACCCCAAATTGGCAGAAGATATAGATTAGATGGATGACATTGGCAATTAGGTGACACAGTTTTTCTTTACATTCCTACATAATGTGAAACTCCATAGTCTTTAACCCTTTATCCTCCCAAGTTCCAGTTTCTTTCTAAGTTTTTACACTTTGTTAAAAACAAAGTAGCGATGAAGAATATTTTTATCATAAAATTTAAAATTGTAAAGTACTTTGAAAATGAAAATACCTAATCAAATGCTGATTAACAAAAATATTAGCTGGAGAGCAATCAAAGATTTCCATGGAAGACAAAATTCTCTCTTTTGCAGAATGTTAGATGATGCCTGTGCATTAAGAAGGAAGTGCTATTTTCCCCTGTGGTTCCCAGCCTAAGTGAGACAAACACCTTGCTTACTGTAGTTAATTAGAATTACCTGGTAGTGTATATTGATGAATCTTTATCCAGTCCCTTGGTTGTTAACAAATAAAAAATCCATTTCCCAAAGCTAACCCATTAATTGAAGTCATTCTTTTGGTTTTGTTTTGCTTTTTTTTAAAGATATGCAATTTTGTCACTGTAAATTTTAATTTCCCAAATGGCAAAACATTTCAGAGTATCTCTAAGGCTCTTGGAACTCAGGCTTAGCCACAGAGGTATTGAGCATGTGGCCAAACTTCCCTCTGAAGTCAATCAAGGCTCTTCTAATTAGCCTTTTGCCACATGACATCCCACCAACTTCAAGAGATTTAGGGTTGTTAATACCCCATCAGCAATTGCATTATTAAGATGACTGAGTTTGGAAACTGTGAATAAGTAAGGTAGACATTACAAGTCACTCTTTGGGTTCTGCTTAATGGAGAACAATTTGGACATTTAGTGGATTATGCTAGAGTTTAACAGTTGAACGTGTTAGACTTTGTTAGTCAACTTCATTATATCTCTACTTCATAACTCACTTCTTCATTTTCTCCATTTGCAAAATAGTGTTAGAAACATCTGGTGGTAGCAACTTCCTCCTAGGAATATTTGATGAGTAATAAGTTAAAGAAAGTGTTGCATCATGCTGGACAAAGGTAAAACACAAATACAGGTGAAGTCACATGTTCCATCATTGAATCTCATTACTTTCCTACATCCTTTGTCTAACCGGATTGTGATTCATTTGCAATTGTCACATCTGTGAACTATTTATTTCACTTGCAACTATTTATTTCATTGCAAATTATACACTAAGTACTATCTTTGATGCATACTAAACTGAGAATATGGCATAATAATAAAGCCTTGGTATAGCCAAAAAGCTTTAGAGATAGAAATTTATTATTTTTCTCAATGGAATACAGCCTTGTCTAGCCAAGGCCCAAATTATTCAGTGTTCTTGCAGTTTCACTGAAACTCAGCCAATATCTGATCTGAGAACACCTACCTTTGTTTGTATAAAACCTAAAATAAACAAGTTTTCTATGGTCCCCAGAAAATCAGTTACAGTGCTCTTATTTTATTCCTTCAAAGGAATTTGAGATAGCCCTGGTTTTTTAAAATTCTCTATTTTTATTCCTATTCCTAAAAAAAATAAATAAGGCACTTTATTGGGAAAGTGAAATAGTATTTTCACTACAGAGTTATTGAATTGATATACTATGCATTTCCCATTCATCAGATTAATTTTGTTGTCAGTTCTACTACAGTAATGTTATATTTCCCATGGGTTCACATAGAATTTTGCTATTTTTTTTAGCTTCATTATTACCAGGTATTTCCTTCTTATCAGATATTTATTTGAAGTTTTTACCATACCCATTTGATCTGAATAAATTGGTTATATATGTGTTTTTCTCTTTATAACCAAGCTCAGCTTTTGATGGTATATTTAAATCATATTTTTATATAATATCAAAGAAATCCATAATTTAGAAAATGACCTTGATTTGCTTTTTCTGATCTTTTGTAGCTGGATAAAGTGGGTAGTAACAAAAGGAACAATTGCAAGCAATTTCTCTCTAATAGCCACTATCCTTCTTCAAATAAATTCTAAAATAAGGAGTTTTTTTTTTTTTTTAAAAAAAAAGGACGTAAGCTTACTTCACTATTAACTTAAAAACCGTAATTTCTGAATTACTGGACTTTACCACTTCGTGTGCAATTTGGAGATACAGAGAGCCAGAAGTTGAGCTTCCTGTGTTAGGGACCTGAAGAATTTCTAAGTCTAGATAGAATCTTCTGTATAATGTGAAGCCTTATCTTCACTATAATTGCAGACCACATTGTTCATTTGCATTTGGTAATCTTTCTTACAATGACCCCTTCTTGTGGGAGAATTATACATTCCCATTTTGTTGAAGTGAGTCATGGCCATATAATTTAGTTTTCCCAAATGACGATGATCCAGATAGAAGCCATTCCATGAGCTGGAATCCTGAGATGAAGACACAGAACAGAAGCCAACTCACGTTACACATGTTGAATGAGTTGAAATCGTACTTATTACTATAAAAAATTATGATGTAAGTAAGGGATCACTTGCTACTGCAGCATAACCTAATTTCTCATAATTGATTATAATTTTTAATGTTGAGAGACTTAGAGGAACTCGGCTGAAAGAGAAGCCATGTTCCTACAAACAGTAAGTGATACTACAGAACGTGCACAGGAAGCAAGAACCTCAGTCAATTGACCTTCCCCAGGTGTGGGACTAACAGATTTATACAAAGAGTTAGATAGACCCATATCAATGTTATAACATCTAAATCCTGATAAAAGATCACAGCAAATTCAAAGGGAACAATGCTCACATACAGAAATACTGAGGCATAGAGTGCTAAAGGTTAGGCTAGACTAGAAGGAGTTTATAAACTATATTTAAGACAATGACCCTATAAGGAGGATCTATATGCAATCTAGGGATGAAAGTAAGTGTCTATCTAGGGAAGCAATGCCAAAGTCTGAAGAATGGGAGAGACATAATAAAAGAATAAATAATGAATCAAGAGGTTAGAATGATCAGAGTTACGGAGAGAATCTGATTTCAAACCAGCTCGAAGTAAGGGATTCAGTGCTATAACTATGACTCCTAAGAGGGTTAGAGCCTGGAAGGTGCTCTCAGTGCAGTACAGGAAATCTCCTCATTAATTGCATGGATGTGAGCAGTGCTCCCTGTCTTCTATGCTCAAGGCTCTGCATTGCTAGGGCCTACAACCTAAAGGTTTCCCCACGCTGGATGCCTGGAGACACATCTGGATCTTGAACATTATGTGACTGATGTTTATATTATACTATTGGCAAGAGCACATGATACACATTACCTGCAGTGGTCTCACATTCACAGATGACTCCGCCTTGCTGAGGAATGCCACTTTCAGTATTTGAATGTTTATGCTACGAAATTTTCAATCAAGCACATGGGAATAGAACAGAAGTCTATGCATGACTCTTTAATTAGAGATCATAACAACAGAAAAGCCCAGTCAGTAAACCAGATCTGGTCACTTCAGTTCTAAGTATCTCATTCCACCTTCACAGCAACCAATCTAAGGAGGTACTGTTATTGTGCTTTTGCAAATGAGGAAACTGAAGCTTCAAGAGGTAAAGTAACTTACTTGTGATTATATAGCTAAAAATGGTAG
Organism: Homo sapiens; assembly: GCF_000001405.40. Lineage (NCBI taxonomy): Eukaryota > Metazoa > Chordata > Mammalia > Primates > Hominidae > Homo > Homo sapiens. Next base: position 116,898,856 of record NC_000003.12, read on the forward strand.
GGACAAGTTCTGAATCAAATGATCTGGCTTCAGAGACTATGCTTTTTCATCAATAGCTAAACTGCAGTCCATGCTGCTGTTTAAATCTATTTAGTTATGGATTTTTTTGTGATTTAACAAAATAGGAAAATATACTTCAGATATTTCTTATAGAGCCCAGCTGACCTTAGGATTGTCCTTTCACACATTATTTGGCTATGGAATATGTGATCTGATTATTTCATGAATCATTTTCTTTCATGTGCAGCAGAGAATCCTTGTCCAATGTTCAAAGTAAGCCAAAGTATATCTTAAATTTAATTGACATTATATAGAATTTTTACACTGTATCTCTATGAAATAATTCAAGACCAGAGAAGTTCACCTGAATAATCTGGGGGAAAAAATTTATTCTTTCTCCTTCCCTAATATATCCAGTTAGCTGACAGCAATTCAGTTGCTGTCCCCGAATAATTTGTGAAAATGTGCCCATTCTGATGTGGGCTGATGAGACCAGATTCTATTTGATCCTTATCTCATTATTCAGTGGCAGTGAACATCTCAGGTCATTAGTCCACAGCAGTCTGAGGAGTAGGGGTGAATGGCTGGCCCGTTACCACTGATAAATCTTTTACCAAAGACAGCTCACACTGAGAGGAGAGAATGAGACTCCAACTGGCTACAAAGTGGGTTTTGGATAAAAACTCGTTACTCTCCAAAATCCAGCTCAAAGACCAGAGAGTTATCCCGAGGAGGCTACAGTGAAGTTCACCTAATTATCAATTACACTGTATCTTCCTTCCTCCTCTCTTTAATTTAATCTCTTAAATTCATCTTTTGAAATAATGTCAGCTTGAATATTTTTGATCAGAAACAAAATCAACTATAGACTTTTAAGAAACAGAGGTAAAAGATAAACTGTCCTAGAGAAAGCTTCATTACAAAAAATTATCTCTGATGTGTAATCCATGAGCCTAGAGATTACCAGGAAAGGAAAATGAAAGCATGGCACTGAGGTCTGTCCACAATCATGCCCTGCAGGGAGGCGCCATTATCTCACAAACCATACATGGGGTTCGAAATATGAATCTTTTTTTTTTTTAAGTAAATATGTGGAACAGCCAGGCTGATGGGGAGAAAGGAAAAAGAAAGGACTTTATCTTTCTCCAGCCTGACACTAATTCTTTGTGATAGGGTGGGGAGCTGTGTGTAATTTTCAGAACTGAAGAGTAGCTTTATCTGTCTTAGCAAAAGCAAAGCCCCTCTCTTCTGCCTTTTTAAGGTTGTTAGAGGAGTAGGACTATACAATCCCCCAAATAATTTCTCTGACCTTCACTTTTGCTAAATTTTCACAGCATATGCGAATCAATATTCCAAAGTATCGAGACTAGAAGGGTTTTCTGGGATCAGAAATTCAGAATCTTTCTCAAGATTTTGGAAAAGCACATTTTCTCCCCTCAGAAATTGTTACTCCAATGACAACCTTTCAGCTCCAGAACCGCCCTATCCAAGAGAAACAACCTGGCAGGACTGTCCCACTGAGTGGGCCTATTATAGAAATAAATCTCCATGGCACCAGCCAGGAGAGGGACTCAGGCCAGCCCTGTGCTATCTGATTAGTTCATGAAAGGAAAAGCTCTGACTGAAAGTACCTGCTTACCCCAGAGTCTCTACAAGGCTTCAGAGGCCTTTAGAAGTTTCCCAGGGTTCAGGGAAAAACTGGGGGCAGCTAAAAAAAAAAAAAAAAAAAAGGAAAAAAAAAGTTCATCTCGCTGCTTCTCTACAACTAAGAAAAATCTTTTAACTAGACCTGAATGCTCTGTTACCTGCCCATAGCAATTTAGATATACCCCAACAGGGAGGTTTTCACAACACAGAAAAAAGAGACTGCTGAAGACTTCCTTTGTGGCTACTGAACATCTAGCACTGCAAGTTGACATGCTCTGCAAGTATATTCAGTGATGCATTCTCTATGGATTTTGAGAATCCAAGAGTAGGAATGCAGCATTGGCACCAAGAAATTGAAGAGAACCTAGATAGACTTGGGAATGGGGGCCAGGTGTGGTGGCTCACACCTGTAAATCCCAGCACTCTGAGAGGCCGAGGTGGGTGGATCACCTGAGGACAGGAGTTTGAGACCAGCCTGGCCAACATGGTGAAACCCTGTCTCTACTAATAATACAAAAATTAGCCTGGCATGGTGGTGTGTGCCTGTAATCCCACCTACTTGGGAGGCTGAGGCAGGAGAATCGCTTGAACCTGGGAGATGGAGGTTGCAGTGAGCCAAGATCGTGCCACTGCACTCCAGCCTGGGTGACCAGAGCGAGACTCTATCAAAAAAGAAAAAAAAAAAAAAAAAGAAAGAATTGGGAATGGGGACACTCTAGGTTTGATTTCTTTTTCAAGCTCTGTGCTAAAGGTAATTACAATATACACCAGTAGACCGAAATATGGTTTGAACACATACACAGAAAACAGCAAACACTTTAATGTATGTATGCAATATCGTCTATAGTCATCTTATAGACATCTTGCATTGCATCCACTACATTCCTGACTGCTAAAAAGAAGAGTCGGAGGAAGCCTTTAGGCTATCTATGCCTTAAGACCATTGAATAATTTTCAATTTCCCACCTCTGAAGAACATATCTGAGTAGAGTATTCTTAAGACTTTAGAGAAAAACTTGAAAAGCAACCATTGCCCATATCAGAAAACAGATTTCATTGCATGTACAAGCCATGCCAAGATCCAGTCAAAAACGAAGAGACTTTAAGATGGCTAAGTAACACACTTGGAAATATTTGTTGAAAGAAATTCAAAGATGGATGCTTTCAGTGATAATTGCTAAAAAAGCAAGCCAAAATAAATATATCCGGAGTGCTCACACTTCTATCTGCTTTATGCTAGAGAGGCCCCTGTCATCACAAAGACTCACTGTCCTTGTCCTTGCATAAAATAAGGATAATGACAATATTGGCCCAACTTATTTCACAGAGTTATCATGAGACTTGAACAAGGTGTTGTAAAAACCCTTTACATATTGTAAAGTGGCCTGCACCAGTGGATAACCTATTTGATGTTAAGTTACCTGGGAACATTTGTCATCTCTCAAAATGCAAGTTCTTAGAGGACAGATTGCCATTTTAGGTCATCTGTGAAGAACTTCAATTCAAGATTGCTACCCAAAGGGAAAGTAATAAGTGGTTTTGTAAACGATATGAGTAATGATGTAACCATCAGAAGAGATCCTCTATTTCTTTCCTTCCTTGGTAACAAACTGAAAGTTTGTCAAAAAGCACTTACTCTTAACAAAATAAATAAAAGTACTTCTAAATTTTCCCATTTGCTTTGCCTTGTGGTCTTTCTCTGTCAAATCATACAATCTATGCATTGTGAGTTGTTCAGTGTTTTCAAATTATTTTACAAGGCACTGGGCTATATCATATATATATATAGATATATATGATATATAGATATATATCATATAGATATACATGATATATAGATATATAGATATGATATATATATATCATATATATATAGAGAGAGAGAGAGAGGGAGGGAGACAGACAGACTATGGAATAGATAAAATAGAGAAGCAGAACCTCACATAAAAGAAGACAACATAACCATGTTTATCTTCTCCTTTTTCTGTTTTGTTGAGGCTACTGTCGCTTCCTTAGAGAACTCTAACCATTCTTTGAGACTCAACTGCAGTACCATCCCTCCCTTGAGTCTTAATTTCTACCAAACAAGAATTGATCTTGTCTTTCTCTAAATTTCCTTGTCACTTTGTCTCCAACTCTCTCATGGCACTTCATTCCATCTAATATTTTATGTGCTTCTTTTGGAGTTGTGACTCTGATGTACTATCCTGTCTCCTGTCTGCACCGTGCAGGCCTTGGCTTAACACATAGTAGTTGTTCAATAATTATTGATTAATACGTTAGTGAATATCTGAATAAAAATATAAATGCGTGTGTACTTCGCTTTTATTATTACACAGGGAACCATGAGCTACTAGACATCAGGAGATAAGTAAATGATAAAAAACCCACATTAGGCTGGCTCTTTGCAGGCGCGTAATAGCCAGCCCTCATTAAAGAGTCCAGACCCTGGGGGCTGTGAGCATCCAATCCCCACCACATTAAGCTTCCAAGTTCTGAATATGTGTTTACTGAAAAAAATAAAAGGTTAACATGGTTCATGCATAGCATTAAATTTCTGCTCTACTAGGCTCTCAGGCACCTTGAAAAGTCAAATATTTAGGTGTCTGGCATTCTTATTCACTGGGAACATGATTTTGAGATTCTTTCCTCTCTTCTTTTTCTCTTGCATTTAGCCATAGTTCCATAAATGCTCCCCTTGTATTGTGCTGTGGCTGCTGCCTTTCTTAAAGACAACTTTTTGCTTTGATTAATTATTGAGCCCTCAGCACTGAAGATTCCCCACTCTCCAATTCTCATTACCAAGGTCTCACAGCCTGCCTGCTCTGCTTGTCTTGATGCAGGGCTTGACGAATGCTCCAATGCTCCACCCTGAGAAAATTTCATGTGCTCATAACTGCTGTTTTTCAGTGTACTTTTTGAGTGATCATGGCCTGGACAGACATACTTACTAGAAACAGAAGCAATAAAACGTGTGTGTGTGTGTGTGTGTGTGTGTGTGTGTGTGTGTGTGTGTGTTTAACCCAGAAGCAGGTCTGGTATAAATGCCCAGACTACACCAAAGCACACTAGACAGCAACACTGGAGCTGAAATTTCTTTGTTTTTGCTCGAATTTTTGTTTTCACTTTAATTATATATACCAAACTTCTGATTATTTCACCCTTGGAAGAGACAAGCTTTATTTTACTACTTTTTTGTTTAATTTGCTATTTATTTACTTGTTTATTCTTACATACTTCTTATCAACTGTTTGTACCCATCTATATGTTCTTTGGGATTTCCTCGAATTATCTAGCTATGCTATGTACCTCTTTTTTTTCCGTGGCTTTATGAAGTAAAATTCCCTTCCATGATTTTAAAATCACCTAATGTAACTCTGACTCTTATTTACAATTACTCTTCTATACAATTCCATTGCATACTCTTACTCTTCTATACTCTTACTCTTCTATACAATTCCATTACTCTTACTCGTCTATACAATCCCATTATTCCTTTTTTCTCTCTCAACCCTGACAGAGAACTTCTATATACTGAGCAAGGTTTATTTCAGGGGAGGATGGAGCGAACCTGGTGAAATGATGTCAGGCATGAAGATAATAACACGCACTGCCAGGTAACTTTTCCGCTTTGACAAACTGGAAGCTGACGGTTTTGGCCAGGCCTTTTCTGAGATGGTTCTAAAAAACTTGATGATATCAGGCACTGGTGACAGCACTTTATTTTATTGAATAAGCCACTTACTTCAATGTTCTCCTTGGCTTTGTTTCTAAACAAATATGAATTCCCTAACTTATTTTCTCTTGCCTGGACCCTGCCATCCCTCTTTGGAAATCATACTGAATATGAGAGAGAATCACAAACCCCCAGTGCACCCAAGTATGCATAGTGACACCCTCTCTCCCTGGATTAGGGCTTCTGCAGAGCTTGACTCATACCCATGAACTATTGTAAAATTCAGTTGAGGTTTGGGGTTCTACTACTAATGAATTACAGGCTGCAGAGAGTTCTATTTGCTTCTCTCAGTATCTATGAAATAAGAAAAATTGGTTTCCATTGTCCTCCCTCACAAGGATACCATGGAAATTAGTGACCTAAAATCTTCAATTTGCCTCACCCCTATGGCACAAAAGTATGAACATAGGACAAAGAATAACTGTGACCATTTTGTTTCTGAAGCCTAACATAAAAAAAAGAAAATCATTCCACTATGGAAAACTAGCTAATTCTCCTGACATGGACTAGAGTACTTCTGTCTGCCATGGTCTGATTCATGCCAGAGACTATTTCAGTGAAAAGAAATTGATCACAAACTTTTGTTCGCACACAAACACTTCTTCTGGGTCCTCATATTCATTTTCTTTTTATCATGGTTATTACTGAAAAGACTAGAGAATTACATCCCACTCGGCTGTCTCAATTTAACCTTTTTCTCTTCAGTATTCTCAAAACCCAGAGGTTTTGTGCTCCAGAGGGCACAGCTGAGAAGGGCAGGCCAGGCAAATTGGCTGGGGAGCCCACACTCACCAGATCCAGTGGTAGCAGAATTGTGGGTAATGGCAGGCTTGCACATAGCAGGGGCATAATCATATCTGAGGTAAGATGGCATTCAATAGAACTATGTGAACTGGTAGCCAATAGGTTCAAGACTTATTCTGAGCAGCTTATAGATGCATCATTTCATGGGTTAGAAGCATACAGAGTATGCTTCTAGCATTCATTTTTTTTTTTTCAAATGTAGACGCTACCATTTTGGAAGATTCTATTAAATGTGAAGCAACTCACAAAAGAACAACTGCAACAGTTATGAGAATCAAGCATTTTGTTAATGAGAAAGATTAAAGAATGTTTAATGTATGCATCTTAGCTAGGTGTCAGCTGGGTCATGAATCAGAGATAATTCGACTTCAGCAATAATTGAAAGCAAAAATAGGAGTAGATGAATGTTTTATCAAGAATGCTGGGAGTAGTAGTATAATGAGGGTGGTTCAAACAGCAAAGTTGGCAAAAGATGCGCATTTGATTGGAAATGGTAGCCACCTTCTTGACTGGGAGCCCCAAAGAAATGCGCATAGAATAATTTTCCAAATGTTAACAAACAGCACTGACACCACAGTGAAAATTAGAGCTTTCAGAAATTAACTACACTGAAAATTAACTAAATTAAATTAGGAAATAACTGCCATTTTCTTTGTTATTATGTTGCATTAATGCCTGTTATTTGGTTTCCCATGACTTCTAATGAGTTCCATGGAATCTAAGCTATGAGCAAAAAACATCATACATTTTTTGGCCTAAGGAAAATCATACATTTTTTCGAAACTAATTATTTTTTAAAATAATGTTTGTAAAAAATAAATGCTAGAGGAATGGCCAGAATTAAATTATTAAATTATTTGGCTGGGTGAGCACCGCCTTTGTCAGAGAATGAATCACTTTCTTCAAATTTAGCAGGCAGATTTGTGGTTTGGAGAAGTTGTGAGTGTCAAGTGGTCAAGCCACTCCTAAAGCTTTCTCACCACTTGTTCATAGATTTGTTTGTTAAGGAGACAATGAGGTGTCATGGACTCAGATAATTTCTTACTTATAACAACACAGTATGCTCAAGTATGTTTTCCTTGCCCCTCAGGGTCCAGAGTAGTTAGGTGAAGCCATCCCAGGCAGGTGCTAGACACTGAGTTTAGGAGTTCGTAAATGCCTACTTTTAGAAGGAGCTGCTGGCAAACCTGGCCATCATTCCCTCTGAAGAGAGAGGTTTGGTTTGTTTTTTTTGTTTGTTTTTTTGAGACAGAGTCTTACTCTGTTGCTCAAGCTAGAGTGTAATGGTGCAATCATAGCTCACTTTAGCCTCGAACTACTAGGCTCAAGGGATCCTTCTACCTCAGCCTCCTGAGTAGCTGGGACTACAGGCATGTGGAATCACCCATGGTTAATTTAAAAAAAACTATTTTGTGGAGGCAGGGTCTTGCTATATTGCCCAGGCAGCTGTCGAACTCCTGGCCTCAAGTGATCCTCTCACCTCAGCTTCCCAAAGTGCTGGGGTTACAGGCTGAGCCACCATGTGTGGCTGAGATTAGGATTTTTTTACCCTGGAAATTAAGCAAAACTCCAAAACAAACAAACAAACAAAAAAAGCAAGGGCAGAAGACTTTACCAGCTTGAAATATCTATCTGAAACTATCTTTAAAGAATCACTAACTCTAACTTCCAAAACTGTTTGTAATGCAAAAACCCTTCTGGTGGGTGAGAAGACACATGATAATGTCAGGATTGTGGAGAATTATCTCCCAACACTCTGGCTTAACAGAAAACATGCACTTCAAGGCACAAAGACCTAGGTTCAAATCCCAACTCCTATATTTATTTCACCACCTTTGGCAACTTACATAGACTGCCACAACACTAAGCTAAATACATGAATTGTTTCATTGTTGCACAACTCTCTAAAAGCTAAAATAAAGAACTTGGCTCAATGACTTGCATATATTAGATCACTCAATTTAATTACCTGCCTTCCTCGATCTCCCAAACTCATTCAGCTTCTGAGACAATTCATCAAATATACACTTTGTGTTGCTTTAGATAATAAAGGTGGGTTAGCAAATAACATCTATATTAAACAAAAACTACTTTACACATGCAAGATTTTTGTCCTAGAAAATAGACAATTATTCACTAGCTTCCCAGGCTTCGGTAAGTTATTGGATCTGTTCGGGTCTCAATTTTTTAATTCTAACATAAGATAATTACATTATGATCACTGATTACTCTTTTAAATTCTAAGCTGTATTTTCTTATAAATATTTGTACCAGGTAAAGAGTAATGCCTTTTAATTTTTTATATTGCCTTTTTATTGAACTGTGGATTGTTTAAAAATATTGCATTTTTAAAAATTTCCTTCTGCCAACAAAGCAGTACAAACATTCTCACAATCAAACAACCTTTTATAACCACACTTGTTTAAAAAGCAGTCATAAATATATTTAGGATATATTCTCTCCTTTCCATATGATATCCTTAATATGTGCATGTTTATTACAAGATTAGAGTGGTTTCAAAAAAGAACTAATCTTCAAAGATTAGCATGAATGGGAGGATGAAGCAATGATTATAATCCAAAGTGACATAGTCCAAGTAATGGATATTTGGCATAGGATTTGTTTATATATTTGCTTTTGCATACAGGTGTCCTTTGTGTTCTAGGATAGCATTTCAAACAAAAAGCGTCGTCACATTAAAAGCTGCCCCAGAAAACAGGATGCTTTTCCCACCCAACATGGAAAAGACCATTCACTTTTGCAGGCCATTTCACTCTTGAGAATAGGCCATATATCGTACCATGATTTGCTCTGACAAATTCCACCTCTCAATTTTCCCTTAGGACTATGGTATTACTTTTATGTGTAGATTTAGGAAGTATTTATCTATTATCATAAATTTGCGTGTGATTATTAACCTATCTGATATCTAGCACAAAGTTGGACACTTTTTAAGAGCTGATTCACAGGAAATAAAGGTAAAAAAATTTCAAGGTAGATTTGCTAGAGGAGAACAAGAGGTTAAATTAGAAGTTAAAAGAATATAACTTTGGCCAGGCGTGGTGGCTCATGCCTGTAATCCCAGCACTTTGGGAGGCCAAGGCAGGCAGATGACAAGGTCAAGAGATCAAGACCATCCTGGCCAACGTGGTGAAACCCCATCTCTACTAAAAATACAAAAATTAGCTGGATGTGGTGGTGCATGCCTGTAGTCCCTGCTACCTGGGAGGCTGAGAAGGACAATCGCTTGAACCTGGGTGGCAGAGGTTGCAGTGAGCCGAGATCATGCAACTGCACTCCAGCCTAGTGACAGAGTAAGACTCCGTCTTAAAAAAAAAAAAAAAAAAAAAAAGTATATGAACTTCATCTGGCCTTTTGATCTACTGGGAATTAGGACATATATGTGGGTCAGATTGCCAGAGGAGGAACTTCAGCATAGGCTGAAAGTAGGAAGTAATTGGAATGGGCAACATACAAACATGTCAAAAAACAGAGAAACGTGATCCAGGCCATTAAAAAAAATGTGCTCAAGGGTTAAGCATAAATTCAAAAGATATGTATTGTACTCCTATTATAAGCAAAATACTATCCCAGCTATGTCTCTCTCAAAATGGGATCAGAGAGCTGAGAAAGCCACAATCTTGACTCAATTTGACACAACTTCTAGCTTATGGTGAACTTCAATGCCATGTATTGAATTAATCCACATACTCTAGTACTTTTGTAGCTGTGCCTTCATAGCTCATTATTTATGTATAAAAAGTGATCTTGCCATAAACATTATCTTGAGAACATGTTAAGGACAGTGAGATTTTGACAGCAAGGATATTTTAAATCCTTGTTACACATACAAATATTTTAATCAAAATTGTATCAACATTGTTGGCTTTTTGTAAAGATAGTATTTTCTGAACAAAACTCTATTTACCAATTTCATTCTTGGATCAATATGCTATATGATCCTTTTGACCCATTTCCATCTTTTCCATTTTCATTTTTGCTTTGCTAAAATTGTCTTTACTGTGATCAATGATTTTTTTTCTGTGTATGTTGTACAATGAATAATTGAAAGATCAAGGTCTTTTGTTCATATTGAATTTCATCAATTACGGCTTCTGCATTTTACATGTAGAGTTTTTGTGCTTATATATGTGTTTATTAATTCTACAAAATCCAATTTTTGGACCATTTTTGCAGACATAAATTTTGTCAAGAATATTTTATTTTTTCATCAATTTTTCAGTCAATAACATGTTATTTTATAGAGTTTTAGCTGTTCTCAATTATGTTTTGTTCCATTTGTTTCTACTATTTCTAATTTACTTTGGGTCAATTTTTGCAGTTCTCAGTGTTCCCATGAGGTATTTTTCCTCAGTCAGTTTTCAACTATAACAAACTTTACTATGTGCACTTTTAGTTTACATGATTTCTACAAGTCTAATTTTTCCTGGGTCAGTTGTTACACTTCTCAAATTTACTGACAAGTGTTTCTTATAAAACAGTCAAAAAATCCAATATATGGTGAAATCAAATTATCTTCAAGGTCAAAGCAACAGGGTCAACACTTATTCTTTCATTTGAGGATATGAGTAGCAAATTGGATGACAGCAATAATTCTAAATATGATCTATTATATCCCAGTCTAGTAATAGGGGGTTAAGGCATATTTCAGGATAAATACAATTCCCAGTCCCAGGCCTAAACCTTGAAATTTTGGTCTATTGAAGGGTAAAGTATTCAGTAGTTCCCAATTCATCCATGGCTTCTCAGAGGCTTCAGAACTAGTCAGTTGAATTGAATGTCTTTTCAAAAACTCATCTAAATTATTTCTTCCTTGGCATCACTACAATTCAGGGAGACTCATACTGTAGCATCATACCATGGTTTTCGAAGAAAGATTGAGATTTAAGAGAGACCAACTAAAGAATAAAACACACTTCTAATTAAAGATGGCAGGTTGCACCCAAATTTACCCCTGCTTCTTTCCCAATATTAACTAAACTGACAAAAGGGGGAAAAATATTTTAAAGGGATAAAAGCAAAAAAAAAAAAAAAAAAAGGAAAGGGGAGGGATGAGTATAATAAAACTTTGGAAACTGTAAAACAAAACTGCTAGTAGTAATTGACATAGACAGCTGGGAACACCAAATTCGAAACTAGAAAGCTAAGAGACATCAAATTCACTCTGTAGAAACAACTTCCCTCTTCAAGGATTTGGTATTTGTAGCATCTGGGACAACTGTAAGTAAGGTAAAAGTAGAACTAAAATGAGATTTTTTTTTTTTTTGAAAGTGTTTAAGAAGTAGACATCTTTCCAGTTACCTCCCCACTTATGTTTAGAAAATGCCTATCCAGCCCTATCCTGCCTTTTGCCCCACAAAGCAATGGGTAGTTTATCATCTGGAGAGGATAAAACAGAAGGTCTACATTGGGGAAATGCTGTACTGTCATAAGTCCTTCCTGTATTTCTATGAGATGGGAATAGGAGCATGCATAAGGTTATACTATGCGCATTCTTTTTAAATCATTTCATGAGGATGCCAGACATGAACATGTGTTGTGCTAGCTGCAGGTATAGTCAAGTATGCTTGCACAGATGTGCAGGTACAAAGCTACTGCCTGACAACAGCGAGTACATACAGTCATGTATTCTGCTGCAACCATCCTTCATTCTGAAAGATGCCATTCATTTTAGATATAAATCAACAATCAACCCACACAGACCTGTTGTTGCTATGATACTAACACCGCAAATTATTTACTACATTTTAGGGAATTTGTCATAGAAACAAAGTTGGAGGGGGACAATGCATACAGAAACAAATATTCCCATATGTTAGGAAGCTACTGCTACACTGTTGTCTTTCATCCTCAAACACAATCTGCAACAGGCTAAGAACTAGGCAATGAGGCATGAAAGCACATACTGAAGCCACTTCTGACACCTACAGTTTTTCATCTGCTTAGCCCAAAGAATTCAGAATGTAGTGTTCATTAGATATAGCTCAGGGCACAACTGAGAATCTGAAAGGTTTCTGAATCTACCATCTTCTAGGGAACTACTGAGCCAGCCATAATTTGCTCACACCTGTCTCTCCTACATTCACCACAGCACGTACAATGTAACCTAATGAGCTTTAACTTTGTCCCCAGATACTCTTATTTATTGTTACTAACTGCTGCAATGCCTTCAGGTCAATATCTGGGACAATCCAATCTGATTTTGAATCCAGATACAACATCCTATCTCTCCTTTCCTCTCTTTTTCTTTCAGAAGCAGTGTAAATTACTGGCATTAGCAATGACAGCAAACAGAAATTCTCAATAGCAAAGGTAGGTTTTGGTTGCAATAAGAAGTAGATGTAATTTTCTTATATGAGTTCTCTCATCATGAAACTCAATCTCTTTGTGTGTTAACGCTGGCACCAACACTTGGAGTATCTAACTTTCAGCGTGATTGTCTCACAGGTATTGGACAATTCTTACTCTCTTCTATTAACTGGTTTCTGAAAGTATAATATGAACATAATATGGCCAACACTTATCTCTATCAACAGGCATGCCTTATTGCCTGAAAGTAAGTGTCACTTGGTGGCAAATAGGACAAATTGCATGTAACCTTGCAGTACATGTGCTTGGAGTCACAGTCAGATCCCAGGTCCACCACTTATTAGATAGAGCTCAAACAAGTCATATACATTTCCTTGGCCTTGGTTTCTTCAACTGGAAAATGAGAAAGGGCCATAATTACCTCATAGGGTTAGTGTGAAGAGTAAATGAGATCATGAAGGTACACAGATTGATAGATTATATATATTACTATATTATATATAGAAGATAATATAGAGAGATTATACTAGATATAATCTCAAAAGAAACTGATCCAGAAACACTTAGTAGGTGCTTAATACCTAGTACTTACTGTATGAGAGAAGAGCTTTGCTGTTAGATTCTTTCATGTTGAGCTATTATTGCAGAATTACTATGTTCAGCAAAAGGTACAGAAGTGCAAAATAATAAAGAAGTCAAGTACTTTCTCCATGAACTTAGAAACCAATAATAACGGAAAGAAGAATATATTAAAAAAAAAAACAAAAAACTTGTCCTCCTTCTTCCTAACTCCTTGGACAGAGAAATCTGGGTCCATTGAGAGAATGGCTCTCACTGGCCATGTTGCTAATATGAATCATTTTTTCTTGCCAGTTATAGAGACAAATGAATCCTTTAAATGTGGCCTATCATCAGAAACTGTGCCAAGCCAGTGGCATCTCCCTGGCAGCAAGTATCTCACCAGCTCCATTTTCATCTTTCAATGTCAAGTTCACTTTAAGAATCAATCTTTGGCGAGCCTCCTGTGGCCACTTGCCACCTCCACTAAAGGCTGTCTTTGTAAAGTGTTTTTAAAAAACAAAAAGAAGAACATATTAAACAAACAAACAAACAAAACCCAGAAAATTATTTTCATGTTCCCCTAGAGATATGGCACTTTTGAAGTGACCTAAGATAGAGCCAGAGAGTCAACGTGATGCAGAACTTCTCTTCATCTGCTGCTACCCTTCTGGCCCCTTGGGTTTTGGCAAAAGAAACAAAAAGAGAATGAAGACATGATAAAGATAAAAGAGGACCTCCTTTAAGGAATCAGGAATTGATTTTTTTTTTTTTTTGTCTCCTAGAAAGCCATTATGAAATGTGAGGGCAGAGAGATTATGACTCCCTTTAATAGTGAGATGTTGGCCTCAGAACTATATCACTGAGGGCAGCAGTGGTAAGTTGAGCAGATTATTGCATAAAACTAGGAGCCATGAATAGAGAAGTGGAACATGCCTTTATAGCTAAATGTATGCAAGAATACATACATTTGGCTGGAAAATGGATACCAATTCAAATATTTTGGAGGAATGAGAGGAGGTCCAAGAAAATAATATTTCTAGGGCTAAATCAGCTAATTACAGAGCAATCTATCACTGGCTGGACCATACATGTGTGGTAGTTAACAGATAATAAGAGAATGCTCAGAAATGAACTTGTTCAGTATACTCAAGACTGGAAGCATCAAAAGAGTGAGATGGAAGACATTCATTCACCAATATTCAAATTAATAGGCAAAATAAATGACCAGCTAGAGATTCCTATGCTTTTTTTCCCCACTTGACTTAGAGCAGAGTCAGACTAAATTTTTTGAGACATAAAACTTAGACATTGGGGGAGAGGACCCTTTAAGAAAAGAATTCATTATTAGAAATATAACATTACTACAGTCCTTCTCAAGGTCTAGAAAGGCGCACATGAAAATGAGGGGCTTATGCTTTATTAGCCTGACAGTAAATCCACCTCTGTTTCAAAAGTTATCAATGAGGAATATGTTTTGCTTTCTGAATGCTTTCTTTGGGCACCATCCCCATAGTCTCTTACTATAACTTTCTGGGTTGAATTGGGAATTAGCAAAAAAACAACACTGCCAAACTTGAATTAGTAGATATGCAACGGAAAATTTAATATGAGAAGGAGGTTCTAGTTTTCTAATTTATTTTGACATATTAAATGACACTAAAAAAAGGTAATTTTAATTATAAATACAGTACATTGAATTCAAAATGAATTTAAATAATAAAGCGATACAGCAAATATCCACTAGAATCATGCCATTATATTTCTAGTTTTTTCAAAGGTCTGAGTGTGTGTGTATAAGTGTGTTTGTGTGTGTTTAATCCAAAGTATCCAAATTATATTCACAACGTAGTCATTCTACCAGATGCCACTTTATTCTTATAGAAGATTGGGAGGTTGACTTTTCTTCTCTTTCTCTTTTTATTATTTACATGTGTGTCAGTTTATTTTTGGTGGCATTCTATAATCAAGCTCCATGTTAACATATTGGTTTTAACATTGAAATAATACAGTTTTAGAATTTTGAAAATTAAATTGCTGTAGATGGAAGAAATATATTAACATGTGTATACTGAAAATCTTGACAGAAGTTAACTCCTTCAAACTGGATTGCTAAAAAAAAGAAACTTTCCCTAAAGCCCAGGAAATCTCTGACCAGATGATTGGCCAACTCCTGGAATGAGGTTCTAATCTATAATTCCTACCTCTCTCATTTATCATATCATATTGGATGGAACAAGAAGAGGAACTACCTTTTACATTAAAAAATTGTTTTAATGTATGCAAACAATACTCCAGAAACAGTAAAAGCTTTTTTGGGTGACTGCCATAATACCATTTTCTACGTAATATGTTCCAGAGATAATATTCAGTCTTTTTTTATTTATGTGGCAAGAAAAAAAACAAGGCTACTGATTATCTTTTTAGAGTATATGAATTCGAATTATTTTATTTTTTACAATTTCTTTTTAAAGTCCAAGTATCTCTGACAGCTATTTTTTTTATAAGCAGAATGGTGTGGCAAAGAGAGCATGCATTACATGTAGAGACCCTTGAATTATTGTCCCAATTCTGCACTGCAGGGCTTCTGCTTTCTTATTTTTAAAAGGGAAAGATTATTTCTATGTAATGTTGAAGATTCTTTCCAGCTTTAACATTCCATGGTTGTTTGATAAATTTATTTAGTCACTCTTTTCTTGATGGTTTTGAAGCATTATCTTGGCAACTGTTAGATTACATTGCTTTTATTAATCCGGAGTCACCACTGTTGAATTCAGCATCTTTTTATTCAGCCCAGCTGATGATGTTCTTTAAGGGCAGGAGATAACCCAAATATCCTATATTCTTTCTGCAGCCAAGCCAGTGAAACATTTCTGCTGAAGTTTTTTCTGTTTGTCCAAAATCCTAGTGATTTTTGATGGCAATACAGAAAGGAGTTAAAGTCAACTTTCAATTATTCAACATTTTTTTTAAACAGCTGCTATATACGGGGAACCCCTGTAGGCACTAGAGATACAACAGTGAACAACACAGGCTAGATTTCCCTTCTCAAATTGCTTAGAGTCTAGAGACGGAAGTAGACATTGATCGAATCATATAGATAAATGTGAAAATGCAAATGTGATAAGTGCCATCAAAGATAAGTATATGATGTTCTGAAAATCTATAAGTATTATTTGACCTGCTCAGGGAAGTCAAAGAAGCTTTCCTAAAAAAATAATACTCATCAAAGATCTAAACGGTGTCTTAAAGAGCAAAAAGGAGAAGGAAAGGAGTCTGGGTAGAGAGCATATCCCAGGCAATTGCCCTGTGATGGCAGCAAGGAACATGAGTATATGGAGTTATAGAAGGCAGATAGGGCTGGATCCCAGGAAGTAAAGAATAGCCTGATAGGAGATGAGATTGGAGATATTTGTAGGGGCCTGACTGCACAAAATTCTTTTGTATCAATTTTGACGTTTCATCTTTAAGAACAAAGGAAAATCATGGATAAGATCATATTAACATGATTAAGTTTACTTGTCAATCACCTTTCATCTGAGAAAGGAAAGAGGTGAGGCAAATTTGTCTAGAGTTAGATTATGTGGAGAATTAAACAGTGATGTAATAGGTTTACTGTTATTCTGGATTCTGCTCTGGACTGATAACCTAACTTTTCTTGAATGCTTTATTTCTAGAGTACTAGTTGAGACAGTACCAGGGAGACAATAGAAAGTTATTCTCCATCATTTATGTAATTGAAATGAATTTAGACTTCCGAAGGGTAGTCTTAGGTCCCACAGAATTCCCAGGGGTAGAATTGCAGCTTTGCCAGGTGAGTGGCAACACAACTGTATGTTCTCCAGGAGCAATTCTTTCATGAGCCTGCCAGCTACTAGACAATATGCCGAAGAGAGGACACCCAAATTATTCTGCTCATCCTTCTTGGGTCCTTGTGATAGTTCCATATTTTCTCCCATTTTTTTTTCAATTAAATGCACACGTCTTCTTTATTCCTGAGAAACAATGTAATTTCCATAAGAGATTCCCACTTCTGCTAAATAGCACCTCAGCATCATGTAGCCACCATTCAAAAAATGATTTCCCACAATATTGAACACCAGGAAGCCCACATCCTTACTAGCTTAGAATGTCCCATGTTCTGTGTAGTGTTAGGGAATCTTACGCAGTATCCCTGGCCCTCACCTACCTCTTATCCTGACACTGGGGTGATTTCAGTTGAGTCTAAGAAGGAAGGGCTGAATGGGACATAGCTTGATACTTATCCTTTCAGTCTCCTCAGTCCCAGTTTCCTGAGGCAACACCAACAGCAACTTTTAGTAGATAATGTTACAACATCATTCGCTGTCTGATAATATGTTACAAGACTAGGAGCTCTAGATCTGGCTAGTGGATGATATATAGGCTTAAGACACATCAGACACCCAGTGAATATCCAAAAAATATTCATCTTATTCTATGACTAAGCCCATTTGTTGACTTGTTAAGATTGGCAATGCTGAACTTGATAGTAGAATAACAGGCATAATAACAGGAAATAATATTGAAGAAGAGTGAGATGGGGCAGGCAGCAGGTAGTGTGTTGACTCCTGAATTCTACAAAGCTGTATAGCCTGGTCAATGATAAGTTAATCATCTTGTGTTCCCCACAAGATCAGATACCTCCCCCTTTAGACGAAATTTTTCCCTAATTAAATAAAATCTGGTAATGGAAAAGAACATTAAGCAATTATTTGAATAGCTTCAGAAGGATGCAGTGATTATTAGCTGTTAAGACACATCAACAACAAAAGCAAAAACAGAAAAAATATATGAGGATTTGATTACTCTTCTAGAAAAATGGGATTAGAATACAAGGGAGAATATGAGTACAAATGGCAATGTCTTGCTGATACTACTAGAAGTGTGCCTGTTTATTTCTGTTATTCTTCCAAATATGGTCAAATGAATTTTACTGTTTGGTAGGTAGCCTAAACATTACATCCATCATCTTTTTTCCCTGATTTTTTTCCCTCTTTGAAATTTTTATTAAAATGAGAATAGAATGGTTAGTGCCCATGATCATTATCTTGCAGAGGCTGGCTTATAAAACAGATTGTTAGTGCCATAAACACAGGCCTGGGAATTCTATCATCCAGTCCCTGATGTGGCATGTCAATTCTCAGGGAATGGCTTATCTTAAATAGTGTTTGCTGTTATTCATAAATATATAATGACAGTGATCCTTAAGCAAACTTCATCCAAATCACTCAATTCTGCACCAGTAATGACTGTACACCAAGTAAAAGGCAATAAGAGGCAGTTGCTCTACACTGTTTGTAATATTCGCCATTATTCAAATACTGTTGACTAACCCTTCACAGCTAAAAAGCTAGTCTCCAAAATTTGGATGGACTAATTCACTGCTGTGAAATTTTTAAATTTCCAAGGTTAAATGAGAAGACACAAAGCAATGACATCAGGAAAATGGAATCAGTAATGAAAATAAAAACATTTTAGATGTTTGATGATCAATATTATTTTATCTCAGAATTTATAAAGGTTATTATAAAAACTAAGAAAGGAATATATTAATATTTAGTTACCCTGTGGATCTAAAAATGAATAAATGGAAAAACATGTTATTCTAGGATCAAGATTCAATATTATAATGATAGCACTTCTCTATAAAAATTAGCACAATCTCAACTGAAGTACGAAGATGACCAAAGTTTTACATGGAAAAAAAAGCGCATAGAAAAGTCAGGATAAAAACAAAATAAAATTTAAAAAAGAAAAGTCGGCCAGGTGTGGTGGCCTGGGTTGGATGCTATAGCTCACCCGCAATCCCAATACTTTGGGAGGCTGAGGCTGGCAGATTGCCTGAGTCCAGGAGGTTGAGACCAGCCTAGACAACATGATGAAACCCTGTCTCTACCATAAAAAAAAAAAAAAAAAAAATAGCCAGGCATGGTGGCACACGCCTGAAGTCCCAGTTACTCAGGAGGCTGAGGTCAGAGAATTACCTGAGCCTGGGAGGTCAAGGCTTCAGTGAGCCGAGATTCTGCCACTGCACTCCAGCCTGGGCAACCACAGTGCAGTGAGATCCTGTCTCAAAAAATGAAATAAAATAAAATAAAATAAAAGAAGGGAAACTGAGACTACTAAATATTAAAACACTGAGCTACAATACTTTATACAGTTTATAGTGGCTCAGGTTTTCAGAATGACAATGAACAAGGAAAATAATATGGAGAGATAAATACTTCAGGGGATTTAACATTTGATAAGGGTGAGTAAAAGGTAGATTTTAAAAACATGTTGTTGCAACACTGGTCTAGTATTTTAAAAAATATGACTGGATCCCTTTCTTATATCATACATGAAGATAATGTCCAAGTAGAAAAAATAATAAATAAATATATAAACAGAAAAAAAGACCAATAAGGATGAAATAGAAATATATAATTTTTTTCCTAAAATACCTGAAGGGGAAAATTACAACCAAGAAGCCATAAAACATTTGATAAATTTGTATAAAATTTTAAAACTCCTGCCACTTTCCAATTTATCATAAACTAAGTCAAAAGAAAAATGATAGTTGTGAAAGCTATTTCTATCCAATATGATAGTCTAAGGATTAATATGTTCAATATTAAAATCATTTTACAAATCAAATTTTATTTTATATATTTATTTTTGTGGAGGTGGGTGACAGAGTCTTACGCTGTCATCCAGGCTGGTGTGCAGTGGTGCAGTCTCAGCTCACTGCAGCCTCTGCGTCCCAGGCTCAAGGGATTCTCATGCCTCAGCCTCCCGAGTAGCTAGGATTACAGACGCGTGCGACCATGCCCAGTTAATTTTTGTATTTTTTGTAGAGATGGGGTTTTACCATGTTAGCAAGGTTGGTCTCGAACTCCCTACCTCAGGTGATCCACCCGCCTCAGCCTTCCAAAATCCTGGGATTATAGGCATAGGCCACCGTACCTGGCCATGGATGAAATTTTAAACTATTCAATAGAAAAAATGAGAACAATAACATGGACAATTTATAGAAGAACAAAACATCAAAACTGTAAAAATTTAAAACTTTTCTGCTACATAACACTGAAGGGAAATACATTGAAATACTAGATACACTTTTGGTGGGCATTTACATTGATGCACTTTGTACAATCTTTGGCAATATCCATAAAAATATGTAATCCGTATTTCCTTTGACCTAACAATTCTATTTCTAAGAACTTATCCTACAGAGATAGTCACCAATTTTGCAAAATATATGTATAAAGGGGTTCATTGCAACATTCTTCATAATAGCAAAACAAAATAAAACAAACCACACAATAAAAACAAAAACCATGAAAACAACTTCATCTGTAAAAAGAAACAGATTAAGTCACTACGCACTGATTAAAATGAATGAAGTATGCCTATTTATAATGTGTGCTTAATGTCCTGGTGACACTGTTGTGTAAAAAAAAATCAAATTATCTAACTGGGAACAGTTTGATCTCGTTTCTGCTTTTTCCTCTTAAAAATGTAAATTTTGTATGAGTTTATATAAGCAAGGAAAAGCTAAACAACATTTCTTCTAGCTCCTACAACATTCCTGATAAGTAATGTTTGGTACCATTCAGTTGCCTCCAATTTAGAACCTAAACTTTAAGGCCAACCAGTAATTCCCATCCCCATTTACACAAATCTAACTTATTCAGCTTTAAGAATACCCTGTTGTCTCTTAACTCATCCAAGTATCTTTCCTCTTTAATGTTTCCAGGGACAAATGAGAGCACAATACACACAAGTACAATGGATGAAATATTTATATCGGAAAGCATATGAGTGTTATAGATCAATGGATGTTATATAATGGAGAAGATGCCTAAACCACAGTGTATAAATAACTGCAGTTTTAAGTACGCAGGCAAGTGAGGAAAAAGTAGAATCCATCATTTCCATCAATATATTAATCCTGCTGAGTCTTCCCACACAGTTCAGTTAATTCTTAAAAATCCAGAATGTTCAAAGGTGGAAGATTCCAAGAATGGAAGTATTTTCAAGTAACATATGCTGGCTTCTATATTTCTTTAGTGTTACAAGAAAGAAAAAGGTATTTTTGAATTTGAAGGGATTATGGGTAAAGCTGTAGGGAAGTCAGTCCATCCGGCAATGCCTTAGGTCACTTCAAATGAGAAGAGTGGAACAAAGGGGATTTGACTGGTCCTCGATAGGATGTTGCCTATTATCATCTCTGAACTGTGTTTATGCAATTTTCCTATCTGATCTTCCCAGGCAGCATAAATTTGCCATAAATTTGTAGGTTCTGGAATACACAGGTTCTGAAATTTGCCAATTTGCTGCCTACTGATTTGGACAAGTTACTTAACCCCCAAACTATAAAATATACCATAATCCTCTCATCTATAAAATGTACCATAAAGCCTATGTCCTAGGGTTGTTGAAAGGATTAAACGATATGAAGAATGCAAAGTGCTTAGCATGGTGCCTCACACATAGTAAACACTTAGAAGATGCTGTTTCATATTCTTACTTTCTAATCATCAATTTGAAAATTTCCATCTAATGTGAAGTTTGTCTGATGTCTTTTTCTTTTATTTCTATACCTAGCACCTATATAAATTAATCTTGAAATATGACAATTCTACATCCCCTTGTGCTTTCAGGTACCTGTTGATCCTGCCAATCTCCCATAACATGCTAAACAACTACAGGGTACAGGCTGTGCACCTCTTCTAGTTTTTTTCCTCTAAACAGTATCTAGTACATGCACACACAACAAATGGCCAATGAATGATGTCGCCTTAGCTCTCCGACAGCTAGAGAGATGCAGCACTTCCAGGTTGTAATATTTACTGCCCACATCTTACAACTGAGTAACTAGTTAACCAACCATCCAAAGAAGAAAACAACACGCTGATCAGAACTTATGGTAACAGTTCCTGTGGGTCGATTTCAGAATTCACCTTCTCACTCAGTGTGTTTAGCTTCTTCTCTAAGAGAGATACAGTGGCTACATGTCACAATTCCCCTTCAGTATATGGGTTGCTGTACAAATAGATGTAATCAGTGAGGAAGAAGCTGCTTACTTTCTCAAGCTTGGTAAATATCATACCAGAAGATGAGTCATCTTTGCTGGGAGATATATAACAAAATAATTATAGAATGTTTTCAGGATATGAATACAATATTTACATAGGACATTTCACCCAAGTATAACCACTTGCACATGTATATTGTACCACTAATATTAAAATGTTCATTTAATATTTAATAATTAGCAGTAAGGTTATTGTAGTAATATTTCTCTATAAGGATCCTTCTCATATTTCTAGGGAAAAGTGAATAAACTATGTGTCTAATTAAAAATTCCTATTGCCTCGCACATCAGACACCAGTTTGATTTCTCCTTTTAGCTGCAGTGAGGTCACACTCCTGCATTTGTGACATAGCAGCAGGTTGTCATGGAGATGATAGCTTTATCAGCAACTCTGCTGTGCAATGACTTCACAGCAAGGTTACCAAGAAGCAGATGGGCTGTGAAGGAGACAAACCCTTCTGTCTAAACACAAATAGCATTGATAATTAATTAGCTGAAGCAGCAGGGGAAATTATGAAAATGTGTGAAAGGTAAAATAATTTCTATTTATTTCAGATTTGATAGTTTTATTCCTCTTGCCAGAGGAAGATCACATCCCTCTTCACCTTGGGAAGGTTGTCTGATATACTGACTATGGCACTAACTGGTTTGAGTATGCTGGTGTTCACTTTCTGGATTTTGATTTCTTGGTTAAGAAAGCATAGTAAGTATAGTAAGTATTCTGAGCAGCTTTGAATGAGATCCCAGCCGTCCTATTATTCTTGCATTCATTGTGATCCAGTTGCAAGATAAACTGCAGGTGTCATGCAGTTGATGGGATTTCAGAAGGGGTGGAGATACCTTCCAGTGTCCCTGAAATCACATAATGGTTCTATCTGGCATTGAAGAATTTTCAACCACGGGATAATAGAGCTTTAGTTATAGAAACGACTTTACAGACTGTCCTTGTCCAGGGTCTCTGAACAACTAGGTTCTTGAGATGTTTTGAATAATCAGCTCATATTCATTCAAGATAAAACTGAATAGTTTAACATGATTTAGTTAAAATATGATCTTCTTTATTATACTTTTAAGTTCTTAGATACATATGAAGAGCATGCAGCTTTGTTACATAGGTATACGCGTGCCATGGTGGTTTGCTGCACCCATCAACCCATCATCTACCTTAGGTAATTTTCCTAATACTATCCCTCCCCTAGTCCCCCCATCCCACAACAGGCCCTGGTGTGTGATGTTCCCCTCCCTGTCTCCATGTGTTCTCATTGTTCAACTCCCACATACAAGTGAGAACATGCAGTGTTTGGTTTTCTGTTCTTGTGTTAGTTTGCTGAGAATGATGGTTTCCAGCTTCATCCATGACCCTGCAAAGGACATAAACTCATTCTTTCTATGGCTGCATAGTATTCCATGGTGTATATGTGCCACATTTGCTTCATCCAGTCTATCATTGATAGGCATTTGGGTTGGTTCCAAGTCTTTGCTATTGTGAACAGCACTGCAATAAACATACGTGTGCATGTGTCTTCATAGAATGATTTATAATTTTTTGAGTATATACCCAGTAATGGGATTGCTGGGTCAAATGGTATTTCTGGTTCTAGATCCTTGAGGAATCACCACACTGTCTTCCACAATGGTTGAACTAATTTACACTCCCACCAACAGTGTAAAAGCATACCTGGTTCTCCACATCCTCTCCAGCATCTGTTGTTTCCTGACTTTCTAATGATCACCATTCTAACTGGCATGAGATGGTATCTCATTGTGGTTTTGATTTGCATTTATCTAATGACCAATGATGATGAGCTTTTTTTCATGTTTGTTGGTTGTATAGATGTCTTCTTTTGAGAAGTGTCTGTTCATATCCTTCGCCCACTTTTTGATGGGGTTTTTTTTTCCTTGTAAATTTGTTTAAGCTCCTTGTAGATTCTGGATATTAGCCCTTTGTCAGATGGATAGATCGCAAAATTTTTCTCCCATTCTGTAGGCTGCCTGTTCACTCTGATGATAGTTTCTTTTGCCACGCAGAAGCTCTTTAGTTTAATTAGATCCCACTTGTCTATTTTGGCTTTTGTTGCCATTGCTTTTGGTGTTTTACTCATGAAGGCTTTGTCCACATGCCTGTGTTCTGAATGGTATTGCCTAGGTTTACTTCTAGGGTTTTTATGGTTTTAGGTCTTAGCTTTAAGTCTTTAATCCATCTTGAGTTAATTTTTATATAAGTTGTAAAGAAGGGGTCCAGTTTCAGTTTTCTGCATATGGCTAGCCAGTTTCCCCAGCATCATTTATTGGATAGGAGATCCTTTCCCCATTGCTTGTTTTTGTCAGGTTTTTTGTCAAAGATCAGATGGTTGTAGATGTATGGTGTTATTTCTGAGGCCTCTGTTCTATTCCATTTGTCTGTATCTGTTTTGGTACCAGTACCATGCTGTTTTGGTTACTGTAGACTTGTAGTATAGTTTAAAGTCATGTAGCGTGACGTCTCCAGCTTTGTTCTTTTTGCTTAGGATTGTCTTGACTACACAGGCTCTTTTTAGGTTCCATATGAAATTTAAAGTAGTTTTTTCTAATTCTGTGAAGAAAGTCAATGGTAGCTTGATGGGACAGCATTGAATTTTTAAATTACTTTGGGAACTATGGCCATTTTCACGATATTGATTTTTCATAACCATGAGCATGAAATGTTTTTTCCATTTGTTTATGTCCTTTCTTATTTCCTTGAGCAGTGGTCTGTAGTTCTCCTTGAAGAGGTCCTACACATCCCTTGTAAGTTGGATTCCTAGGTATTTTATTCTCTTTGTAGCAATTGTGACTGGGAGTTCACTCATGATTTGGCCCTCTGTTTGTCTATTATTGGTGTATAGGAATGCTTGTGATTTTTGCACATTGATTTTGTATCCTGAGACTTTGCTGAAGTTGCTTATCAGCTTAAGGAGACTTTGGGCTGGGACGATGGGGTTTTCTAAATATACAATCATGCCATCTGCAAACAGAGACAATTTGACTTTCTCACTTCCTATTTGAATACCCTGTATTTCTTTCTCTTGGGTGATTGCCCTGGCCAGAACTTCCAATACTGTGTTGAACAGGAGTGGTAAGAGAGGGCATTCTTGTCTTGTGCCAGTTTTCAAAGGGAATACTTCCAGCTTGTGCCCATTCAGTATGATATTGGCTGTGGGTTTGTCATAAATAGCTCTTACTATTTTGAGATACGTTCCATCAATACCTAGTTTATCGAGAATTTTTAGCATGAAGTGGTGTTGAATTTCGTCGAAGGCCTTTTCTGCATCTATTGAGATAATCATGTGGGTTTTTGTCATTGGTTCTGTTTATGTGATGGATTACATTTATTGATTTGCATATGTTGAACCAGCCAAGATTTTATTGAGGATTTTTGCGTTGATGTTCATCAGGGATACTGGCCTGAAATTTTCTTTTTTTGTTGTGTCTGCCAGGTTTTGGTATCAGGATGATGCTGGCCTCATAAAACGAGTTAGGGAGGCGTCCCTCTTTTTCTATTGTTTGGAATAGTTTCAGAAGGAATGGTACCAGCTCCTTTTTGTACCTCTGGTAGAATTCAGCTGTGAATCCGTCTGGTCCTGGGCTTTTTTTGGTTGCTAGGCTATTAATTACTGCCTCAATTTCATAACTTGTTCCAAGGGATAATCCCTATTTAGGGATTTGACTTCTTCCTGGTTTAGTCTTGGTAGGGTGTATGTGTCGGGAATTTATCCATTTCTTCTAGATTTTCTAATTTATTTGTGTAGAGGTGTTTATAGTATTCACTGATGGTAGTTTGTATTTCTGTGGGATCAGTGGTGATATCGCCTTTATCGTTTTTACTGTGTCTATTTGATTCTTCTCTCTTTTCTTCTTTATTAGTCTGGCTAGTGGTCTACCTATTTTGTTGATCTTTTCAAAAAACCAGCTCTTGGATTCATTAATTTTTTGAAGGGTTTTTCATGTCTCTATCTCCTTGAGTTCTGCTCTGATCTTAGTTATTTCTTGTCTTCTACTAGCTTTTGAAGTTGTTTGCTCTTGCTTCTTTAGTTCTTTTTTTTGTGGGGGGAGTGGGGAGGATGGAGTTTTGCTCTTGTTGCCCAGGCTGGAGTGCAATGGCATGATCTCAGCTCACCGCAACCTCCGCCTCTCGGGTTCAAGCGATTCTCCTGTCTCAGCCTCCTGAGTAGCTAGGATTACAGGCATGCTCCACCACATCCAATTAATTTTGTATTTTTAGTAGAGAGAAGGTTTCTCCATGTTGGTCAGGCTAGTCTCAAACTCCCAACTTCAGGTAATCCATCCACCTCAGCCTCCCAAAGTGCTGGTATTATAGGCATGAGCCACCACACCTGGCCTCTCTAGTTCTTTTAATTGTGATGTTAGGGTGTCAGTTTTAGATCTTTCCTGCTCTCTTCTGTGGGCATTTAGTGCTATAAATTTCCCTCTACAGACTGCTTTAGCTGTGTCCCAGAGATTCTCATACATTGTGTCTTTGTTCTCATTGGTTTCAAATAACTTATTCATTTCTGCCTTAATTTCATTATTTACCCAGTAGTCATTCAGGAGCAGGTTGTTCAGTTTCCATGTAGTTGCGCAGTTCTGAGTGAGTTTTTTAATTCTGAGTTCTAATTTGATTGCACTGTGGTCTGAGAGACTGTTGTGATTTCCATTGTTTTGCATTTGCTGAGGAGTGTTTTACTTCCAATTATGTGGTCGATTTTAGAATAAGTGCTATGTGGTGCTGAAAAGAATGTATATTCTGTTGATTTGGGATGGAGAATTCTGTAGTTATCTATCTATTAGGTCTGCTTGGTCCAGAGCTGAATTCAAGTCCTGAATATCCTTGTTAATTTTCTGTCTCATTGATCTGTCTAATATTGACAGTGGGGTGTTAAAGTCTCCCACTATTATTGTGTGGGAGTCTAAGTTTCTTTGTATGTCTCTAAGAACTTGCTTTATGAATCTGGGTGCTCCTGTATTGGATGCATATATATTTAGGATAGTTAGCTGTTCTTGTTGCATTGATCTCTTTACCATTATGTAATGCCCTTCTTTGGTTTTTTTGATCTTTGTTGGTTTAAAGTGTGTTTTATCAGAGACTAGGATTGCAACCCCTGCTTTTTTTTGCTTTCCATTTGCTTGGTAAATATTCCTCCATCCCTTTATTTTGAGCCTATGTGTGTCTTTGCATGTGAGATGGGTCTCCTGAATACAGCACACCGATGGTTCCTGACTTTATTCAATTTGCTAATCGGTGTCTTTTAATTCAGGCATTTAGCCCATTTACATTTAAGGTTAATATTGTTACGTGTGAATTTGATTCTGCCATTATGATGCTAGCTGGCTATTTTGCCTGTTAGTTGATACAGTTTCTTCATAGTGTCGATGGTCTTTACAATTTGGTATGTTTTTTGCAGTGGCTGGTACTGGTTGTTCCTTTCCATGTTTAGTGCTTCTTTCAGGAGCTCTTTTAAGGCAGGCCTCATAGTGAGAAAATCTCTCAGCATTTGCTTGTCTGTAAAGGATTTTATTTCTCCTTCATGTATGAAGCTTAGTTTGGCTGTATATGAAATTCTGGCTTGAAAATTCTTGTCTTTAAGAATGTTGAATATTGGCCCCCACTCTCTCCTGGCTTGTAGGGTTTCTGCCAGGAGATATGCTGTTAGTCTAATGGGCTTTCCTTTGTGGGTAACCCAACCTTTCTCTCTGGCTGCCCTTAACATTTTTTCCTTCATTTCAACCTTGGTGAATCTGACAATTATGTGTCTTGGGGTTGCTCTTCTTGAGGTGTTCTCTTTATTTTCTGAATTTGAATGTTGGCTCATCTTGCTAGGTTGGGGAAGTTCTCCTGGGTAATATCCTGAAGAGTGTTTTCCAACTTGGTTCAATTCTTCCCATCACTTTCAGGTACACCAATCAGACGTAAATTTGGTCCTTTCATATAGTCCCATATTTCTTGGAGGCTTTGTTCATTCTTTTTTATTATTTTTTCTCTAATCTTATCATCACGCTTTATTTCATTAAGTGATATCCTTCTGCTTGATTGATTCAGCTATTGATACTTGTGTATGCTTCATGAAGTTCTTGTGCTGTGTTTTTTAGCTCCATCAGGTCATTTATGTTCTTCTCTAAACTGGTTATTCTAGTTAGCAATTCCTCTAACCTTTTTTCAAGGTTCTTAGCTTCCTTGCAACGGGTTAGAACATACTCCTTTAGCTCGATGGAGTTTGTTATTACTCACCTTCTGAAGCCTACTTCTGTCAATTCATCAAACTCCTTCTCCATCCAGTTTTTTGCCCCTTGCTGGCAAGGAGTTGTGATCCTTTGGAGAAGAAACATTCTGCTTTTTGGAATTTTCAGCCTTTTTGTGCTGTTTTCTCCTCATCTTTGTGGACTTATCTACCTTTGGTCTTTGATGTTGGTGACTTTCAGATGAGGTTTCTGTGTGCACATTCTTTTTGTTGATGTTGATGCTATTCCTTTCTGTTTGTTAGTTTTCCTTCTAACAGTTAGGCCCCTCTGCTGCAGGTCTGCTGGAGTTTCCTCGAGGTCTACTCCAGATCTTGTTTGCCTGGGTATAACCAGCGGAGGATGCAGAACAGCAAAAATTGCTGCCTGTTCCTTCCTCTGGAAGCTTTGTCACAGAGAGGCATGCGCCAGATGCCAGCCAGAGCTCTCTTGTAAGAGTTGTCTATCAAACCCTGCTGCGAGGTGTCTCCCTGTCAGGAGGCATGGGCATCAGGGACCCACTTGAGGAGGCAGTCTGTCCCTTAGCAGAGCTCGAGCACTGTGCTGGGAGATCTGCTGCTCTCTTCAGAGCTGGTAGGCAGGAAAGTTTAAGTCTGCTGAAGCTGTGCCCACAGCTGCCCCTTCCCCCAGGTGCTCTGTCCCAGGGAGATGAGAGTTGTATCTGTAAGCCCCTGACTGGGGCTGCTGCCTTCCTTTCAGAGATGCCCTGCTCAGCGAGGAAAACTCTAGAGAGGCAGTCTGGCAGCAGCAGCTCTGCCAAACTGGGGTGGGCTCTGTCCAGTCTGAACTTCTTAGTGGCTTTGTTTAGCCTGTGATGGGAAAACCACCTCAGTAATGGTGGATGCCCCTCCCCCCACCAAGCTCGAGCATACCAGGTCGACTTCAGCCTGCTGTGCTGGCAGGCAGAATTTCAAGCCAATGGGTCTTAGCTTTCTGGGCTCTGTTGGGGTGGAATCTGCTGAGCTAGACCACTTGGCTCCCTGGCTTTAGCCGCCTTTCCAGGGGAGTGAACAGTTCTATCTTGCTGGCATTCCAGGCACCACTGGGGTATAAAAAAAAAACTCCTGCAGCTAGCTCAGTGTCTGCCCAAACAGCTGCCCAGTTTTGTGCTTGAAACCCAGAGCCTTGGTGGCATAGGCACTGGAGGGAATCTCCTGGTCTGTGGGTTGCAAAGTCCATGGGAAAAGTGTAGTATCTGGGCCGAAGTGCACTGTTCCTCAAGGCACAGTCCCTGAAGGCTTCCCTTGGCTAGGGGAGGAAGTTTCCAGACCCCTTGTGCTTCCCGGGTGAGGTGACACACCACCCTGCTTTGGCTCACCAGCCGTGGGCTGCACCCACTGTCTAACCAGCCCCAGTGAGATGAGCCAGGTACCTCAGTTGGAAATGCAGAAATCACCCGTCTTCTGAGTTGATCTCACTGGAAGCTGCAGATCAGAGCTGTTCCTGTTCGGCCATTTTAAAATGTGATCTTCTCTACTTCATATTAGAATGTCAACTCAATGTGGTAATACTTATTATTACAAACATCTGAAGCGCTAATCGACTGCTCTATGTCTCGGAACAGCTAAAATGGGAGAACAATTTAATTATTACTTGGTTAATGTAGTATGTTGGGTATGAAAATATTCTCAAACATATGTTCTTGAAAAAGTAACAAAATAGATACCTGGTAATAAAAAGGTTAGGAATCCTTAATCTAGTCCAAAACTTTACAAAAAGGAAATGATAATGATGATTAATGTTTAATAAGTGCTTGCTGTGTTCCAGGCACTGAGCTAATATCATTTTACTCCACCTCTTACCCCCACAAAAAACTTGGAGGACAGATTTATTATTTTCCTCACTCTACAGATGAAAAGGACTTTAGTAAGGCTTAGAAACTTTAAATGTCTTGCACAGCTAATATTTGTCATGAAGAGGTTATGTGACTTTTGTACATGCTATGACAATCTAAATTATTCTAATTTTCCAACTGATTGATGTATATTATCACCATTTTATGCTTTTTGCTACTTTGTTTTAGATCAGTCCTATTAAGGAGAAATGAGTATATTATTCATCCCTTTCTTTCTTTCATATATAGTACCCACTTGCTAGGTAAAATCTCTGATGAAAGCACATTTTTCCTTTGTAATAAAGACAGCAGGACATAGCTTTCCTGATACGGTACTGACCCCCTTTCTCCACCTCATCTGAAACACATCCTCTGTCTCCGCCTTCTTGGTAGAAAGCACTAAGGGGGAGATGATGTATAATTACTTGTCTGGTAGGGTTTTAAATTATGTGAGCAACTGTCTGTCTACAAAAAAATGTAGCTATCCATTCTTTC
This sequence comes from Homo sapiens, assembly GCF_000001405.40. Taxonomy (NCBI): domain Eukaryota; kingdom Metazoa; phylum Chordata; class Mammalia; order Primates; family Hominidae; genus Homo; species Homo sapiens. The sequence continues at coordinate 116,929,612 of NC_000003.12, forward strand.
CTCAGTCAGTATATGATAAGAACTTTGGGAAGTGAAAAGAACTTTAAGGTAGTTTGAAATGAATGACCTAGAGATTCAATGATTTATGTCCACTATCTGATTTTCTCTGAGGAAATGACTAATTTCCCAAGCCTGCAAAGAAAGAACATGAAACAAACAACAAATTTCAAAGATGAAACTAAAAACACTCCAGAATCAGAAAGGACATGTTCAGTCTGAGCCAACCGTCACATCTTTAACCCTTCCATCTGTTGATGTACATTAGAAAAAGGAAGAGAAAAAAAAACAACAAACTACATCCAGCCTGTTAGCTGGGTAATTTAATTTTCATGTTATTTGTGAGCTGGTGAGGCATGCTTACCTCTCTGTGTGTAAGCATTGAGGCTGGCAATTAACCCTGTTCCCTTTAGCAATCAAATTTGTTTGGGGACTTCACTCAAAGCCATCTCAAACTGAGCACTATGCTAATGACCTGTACTGGGCTTGACTACTGTGGAAGCGCAAAGGATGGCAGGCAGGATGGTGCGGGCTTTTCTTTCAAAAATACCTTTATGTATATAACTCATTAGACCAAACAGAAAAACATGGTGGTTGGAGAGATTATTGAAATGGTATTTTAAAAGTTTTATTTCCGTTTTCTTTTCATATTTTTTCCAGCTTTATTGAGGCATAACCAAAATGACCTTTGTGATATTTCATGTGTTCTTTATTATCTTTCTCTATGTTTCTGTTTTCCCATATCTCTTTGTGTCTCATACTAGAAGATTATTTTAGTTATAAAGAAAAACACCTGAACCTTCATTAAAGATGTAAACCCAGATTTGGGGGAGGGAGGATTCTAGAATGTCTCCTCAGAGGCCCCTTTCTCAGCTGTTGAGGATCGCTTTTTAATGTTATAAGAAAAGCATAGCCCTGAGATGTTTGACCAATATGGCCCTCAGGTGTGTGAGTTTAGAGAACCTCATGTTTTTCATGGGTGTCCAGTCTTTTGGCTTCCCGGGGCCACATTAGAAGAAAAACAATTGTCTTGGGCCACACATAAAATACACTAACACTAACAATAGCTGATAAGCAAAAAACAAACAAACAAAACAAAACAAAACCTCAAAAAAGTCTCATAATGTTTTAAGCAAGTTTACGAATTTGCATTGGGCCACATTCAAAGCCGTCCAGGACTGCATGCAGAGCACGGGCCACAGGAAGGACAAGGCTGTTTTAGAGCTTTAATCCACTTTCACCCACAGTTTTGATTACTGGACTGATAAGATTCTGAATTACTCTCTGCCTCTGTCCACCCCAAATCAGCACAGCTGTGAGGCATGTAAAGCCTTCCTACTCCAGATTTGGTCTACTCACCAGCAGCATCTCCATCGCCTAAGAGTTTTATTAGACATGCGCAACGTCAAGCCCTACTCCAGACACACCGAATTAGAACCTGCATTTTAACAAGATCCCCAGTGACTCATATACAAACAAAAGACTGAGAAGCACAGGCCTAGAAGATGTCTCCTCCCACTGACAAAGGGCAAAGAAAGGAGTTGTCTCAGAACTTGGAGTAAAAAATACTCTCCTGTGGTGATAGAGAGAAAAAGTGTGGAGGGCAAAGAGGGGAGCCTGTGTATATGCGTGTGTATGTGTGAGAGAGATAGAGAGATGAAATGAGGTAACAAGATTCACCTGCCAACCAGCCCTGCCTAAAACTTTTCAGCACACTCTGGATCTCAGCTGCTAGTACTTACTCTTATTTGACTACTAGGCATATTTAGTTTCTATATCCCGCCTGAGATGTTCCCAAAATGTCATAAGCGGCAGGAAGATAACCTGAATTTTTGTCCTTTATCCAAGCACTAGGTCTGACAGAGGTAGTCTTCCTGACATTGCCCTCACTGGCCCAGGGTAAGAAAGCTCACTAAATGTTCTGACTATTATTTGAAGCATGATTTCAGCCATGCTATTCTACCAAAAGCAGCACAGATCTCTCTCTTGATCATTTGGCATTCTTCATATTACATCATCACACATAAAATTGTTGATTCTCGGGTTAGAAGGAACCATTTTTAAAAGTACAGTTTCTTACCTGATACTGGAATCCCTGCTATAATATAGCTAGTCATTGCCAAGCTACACTTGGAAAAAATAGACGAAAGAAAACTCAAAATTCATGCTCATATGCTATTGAGCATTTAGTGACATTGCAGCTACCTTATTTGAGAAGGCAGCATTCCACTGATAACATATATCACCCTCTAAGTATGGCATGCTCCTCTTACAAACAGTTAAGCTTCAGAGCAGTAGTGCAGGAAGGAAAAAAGTCCCTTCATAAATAAATCCTTTTGCCTAAACGAAAGAATATACAGTACTCATAAAAATGGCGATTAGAGCCCAGCATGAGAAAGATACCCTCATAACACTAATAATATTAGCAATAAAAATACCCTCTGAGATTTGCTATTCCAGAGAAAATATTTGCTATTATTGTTATTATTATTATATTACTGCTAATAATAATAATGGGTTGCTTGCTAAGAGATTGAGCCTTTGCTGTAACTAAGTAAGCATACTTAGAAAGTGCTCCCCTGAAGACATTTCTTCAATTAATAAAGAAGACTGACAGATCTTCTCACAGCCTACTGCCAGGTACCAATTGATTGCCTCCCTGTAATAATTGTTTAATTTGCTTTCCAGTACTAATCATGTTGTGCAAATTGTTGGCCTCTGCCATTTGGTGACAAGGCAGATGGTATTTCAATGGGCCCAGTTGAGCTGCCCACCAGCCCCACCTCCCACCCTCAGCCTTTTCCATTCTCCCTTCCCACCCACCCTGTCCCTTTCTCCTGCCTGGAACCCAGACACAGATCTGGGGCTATGTGTTCCTCTAGGAAGATGACGAATAGCACATTGGCAATGAAGGAGTAAATTGGTCAGACCTCTAGAGCAGCAGCTACAGGAGGAGGCATCCCTTTGCCGTGTATCATGACCTCTCCCTTTGCTTAAAGAAAAGCTGTAAGTTTACAGCATGAATTAGCATGGCCCCATCACAGACACAGATTTAGGGTCATATAAGGCCAAAGTGGGTAACTTGGTGATTAAAAAAAAAGTCAAAGTCCCAAAAGCAGGGGAAATTGTATCAGGGTGCTGGAGAGGGAGGGGAATTGTCAGTAAACACGATGAAAACACATGAGTGGAAAAGAACTGTGATATATCATTAGGCATATCAGGGAACTCTAGAACACAGTCACAGTTGATGACTGAAGTATAGTTTCCCCAACCCTACCTCATTACCCATAGCTCCTCTGACTTGTTTGGGGGTATGCTTAGTTTTTGGCTTCTTGCATAGCTTTCATCTTTCTGCTTCACTGGATGAAAGGCCCACAAAGAATCAGGCATATACAGAGGCGTGCATTGTATTTGCAACCACTTACATTAAAGTTCCCAAATGTACTTGGTACGTTCACACCTCTGCATGTCTAGACATACTATTCTGCCATCTTGGTGGAATGTCCTTCACATTCTGAATTATCAGGACTCATTTCAAAGACCCCAGTTCTTGCATTAAGCTTTCTATTCCTGTGCCCTCCTAAGGCAGTGTTTTCTCACATTCACTTGTCGCTTAGCTAAGTAAGAGCAGACCCTTCAGTCCTTCACAAAACACCCTCCAAGCTATAACCTAAACATAGTTTTCTGTTGCATCTTCTACTACCACTCCAGACCTATGCTATGGCCATATTCCATATTTTACTGGACCACATACTTCCCTTCTGTCTGTGCCTTGTCTTTGCACTTTCTTCTGTCAGAAATTTTCTTACAGAGTTCAGTAATCAAAAATTCCATCTGTTAAAGATAATCACTAAAACCATTTCCTTTTTGAAAATGCTATTGGATGTGATATATCTCTCTATTAAAAGCTATATCACTTATATCATCTACATATATATCTAATTCTTTGGAGACATTAAAACTTACCTGATGGAAGATACTTTAAGGCTTTCCGATAAGCCCCCACAGAACTTTATTTCTCCTCATGGAACTCACAGTTTGCTTCATGTGATTAAGACCATTTCCAAAGACACTTTTTTTAAAGGGGTTTACATAGAAAACTTTATAGCAATGTGAAATGTGAAAATTTTTTTTAGCTTCAACTTTAAACAAAGTTACTTTCCACTGCAAGGCATTTAAAATTTATTTCCAATTTCCAAGGAATACAGGAGTGCTGATTTTATCTGTGGGAAATAAGCCAGCAAGGAGACCACAGATACAGGACAAAATGCTCACTTTAGGAGCACGGAGAGGTGTCATGCCATTCAATCATTTCTGCAACTGGTAAAGCGGAGAGTATTGGAGAAATATAAGGCCTGAAGAAGAGTTTTGTTAAGAAAGATTTGGATCTTAAAGATCATAGTGTGAGAAGTACTTCTGAACCACAGCTCAATACCAAGCTACTACCGATTACCTAAATGAGATACAGTGAAAATGGAATGTTTGCAAAACTGAAGAGTACATACTTTATTTTTATTTTTTTAAGATGGAGTTTTTTGCTCTGTCACCCAGGCTGGAGAGCAGTGGCACAATCTTGGCTCACTGCAACCTGCAACTCCTGGGTTCACGCAATTCTCCTGCCTCAGCCTCCCCAGTAGCTGGGATTACAGGCACCCAGAACCATACCCAGCTAATTTTTGTATTTTTAGTAAAAACGAGGGTTTCACCACGTTGGCTTGGCTGGTCTTGAACTCCTGACCTCAAGTGATCTGCCCACCTCAGTCTCCCAAAGTGCTGGGATTATAGACATGAGCCACCATGCCTGGCCTAAAGAGCACATACTTCAGGATGCTTAGTTACTAAAACACAATTTTTCTTTAAAGTATCTGCTTGGAAAGCCAAATGCCACAATACCACACGTTCTCACTTATAAGTAGGAGCTAAACAATGGACATACAGAGTGGAATAATAGACACTGGAGACTACAAAACGTGGGAGGGAAGTGAAGGTTGAAAGATTACTTATTGGGTACAATGTTAACTATTCCAATGTTCCGATGACGGATATACAAAAGCCCAAACTTCACCACTATGTAATATATGCATGTAAGAAATCTGCAGTTGCACTCCCTAAATATATATTTTAATAAATAAAATATAATCAACACTTAAAATAAATTTAGTTTGAATAAAAATAAATAAAAAGTGTCTGCTGAGTACCTGACATTGATATTGGGAGCAAGCAATTTTGGAGGTGGGAACTCCTTTCAGGGGAAAAGAAAATAAGAAAAAATATAGAAAACAAGAAAAAATATTATAAAACCCTGAAAAAGAATAACCAACCAACCAACCAACAAACAGAAATCAAAACCAAGAAAACCTAACCATATGACGACTATATAGAAGATGGGCAAAAAGTGTTCCCATTCCCCATGGCAGAAAATTCTATTCTCACTGCCACCATCCCAGTTTAGACTATCTTTTCTTGCCAGGATCAATGCAGTCATCTACTAACATGTTTCCCGAACCCCTTCCTGGCTCTCTATAAGTACATCCTTCATATAGCCAGAACATTTTTATGAATGAAAAACCAGCTTATGTCATCACCATCCCCTGTATCCTATCCCATTCCTTCAGTCTCCTAGCTTATCCATTTGCTCCCTGAAGACTTATTCAGCCTTTATAGGCACTATAGATACAGAAATAAAGCAGGATGAGTTACCCTTAGCCCCCACCTCAACTCCAGTAGCTTATATATTAGGGATCAAATCCAAATTCCTCAACGTGACATACCAGGGTCAGGCAATCTAGAAATGCTTCTTCCTCCAACCTCCTGCCCCCTTCCCCTTGGCTTCTCCACTCCATTCTTTCTTTTACCAATACACTCATACTTACTTTTGTTTCTCTATTAGCACTGTCCACATTCTCTTTTGACTCCCATTTTTCTCATAAGAGGCTTTTTGTGCTAAAATACCTTTCCTCACCCATCTTCGCCTACATTCCCATGGCTAATCGCTACTTCTCTCCTATATTCCCTTTATCACTCTGTTTTCTTTGTGTGTGTCTGCTTCCTCCAAAAGACTGATAGCTCCCTCAGAGAAATCTAGTGTTATTCACTGGTAGGTAATTCATTACTCAGCACTGTACCTGATTTATGATGGTGCTCAATTATCATCAATTGGGTGAACCAATTAAAGTTTTGACTTTGTGTGGCTGGTTTCTACTATACTAAGGGGAGTAGTTTCTGTATTGTGCCTGAGGTCAGGGACTTTGTTTGGTTCCTGCCTCTCCCAACTGGGTGAACACCAGGTATTCAAGAAATATTTATTGAATGAATAAAGGAAAGGATGAATTCAACCAAAACAAAACAAAACAAAGAAACCCAGTATTAAAACTATGTCCAGGTCAGGCCACAGTGGCTCACACCTATAATCTCAACACTTTGGGAGGCTTAAATGGAAGGATTGCTTGAGGTCAGGAGTTTGAGGCCAGCCTGGGCAACATAGCAAAACCCCCCTCACTATTTAAAAATAAATAAATAAATAAATAAATAAACAAACAAACAAATAAAGCTATGTCCACACAAATACAACTGTGATCAGAACTGAAACTGGACATCAAGCATTCTTTTGTCCAAATAGAAATCTGGAACTTTCTCATAAGAACTTTCTAATGGCATTAGTTATCTTAGGAAAAAAAATGATAATTTTTCTAGCCCCTTTGTGTATACTCCAATTTCCCTTCTCTTCACATGGCACAGTAAAGGCACTAGAGTTGAAATTGTGAGAACCTTTTCGCTTTTACATCTGAATTATAAAATGTCACATCCACCTGCCTCTGCCAGACACAGGCAACATTAATAGTAATGTTTAAAGGGCCTTCAGAATAGCAGTGGGATGATTTAAAGAGAAGAATAATCAAGGACTGCATCTTAGTAAATAAATCCAAGGTCCAATCTGTTTAGTCTTTCACCCGCATTTTTTAAGGAAAATTAATATTCTTTTTAAAAAGCAAATCAATACAGACTCTGAACTGCTGACTTAGTAGATTTAAAATGGAAATGTTTTTTTCTTCCCCAACAGCCTGCTGGTTGACCTCCCTTTTTTCAGTCTCTCTCTATTCCATTCCAATAGAAAGAGACAAAGGGATACCCTCAAAATATCACTCATGAAGCATATAGGAAATTGTTGAGGCTGTGTGTGTGGTACCACTTGTCTCTTGTGGGCGTGCAGACCATAGGAGAGCCTGTCTTTGCCCTCAAGGGGGTTATAAACCAGATAAGGAGAGAAAACTCTCGTAGATCAAGGAATCCAAAGGACAATAACAAGAAACATCCTCTAAGATACTGAAAGGAAACCATTTTCAACATATAATTTATACCCTTGCAAATGCCCCATGATGCTTTGTGAACTCCTTCCTCTCCCTAAAGAGGGATTAGACACTTCATGTACACAGGCAAAACATGCTCAATTAAAAAATAAAAAATCTGAAATGTTTCAACAACTGAATCTATTTGAATGACACCACCAGTGGAAAATTCCACACCTGACCTTATGGGACAGTTCATATATATTATTGAAAATATTGTATAAAATTACCTTCAGCCTATGTCTATAAGATGCACATGAAACATAAATGAGTTTTGTGTTTAGACTTAGTTCCCATCCCTAAGATAATTTATGATTTATATGCAAATATCCAAAAATTAAAAACAAATCTGAAATCTGAAACACCTCTGGTCCAAAGAATTTCATATAAGGAATACTCAGCTTGTATTATCTCATTTAATCTCACAACAACCCTCAGAAGTTTATAATATCAAGCCCATTTTACAGTTGAAGGAAATTATGACCTTCAGTTAAATGACCAATGCAATATTCTGTGTTTGAGAAGTGATAAAACTAGTACTTAGAGTTCAGTTCTGCCTAGCTGTAAACTTCTTTTCTTTTCACCAGCCTCTCTCTTCAGTATCACCCACTGTCTTTGGCATTCGTCTATGATTTTTTATTATTTTCTAACATCTCTACTCTGCTGAATCCAAGTTTATATACTTGGCATCTCTGGAACAAATTTTGCTAAGGCATGTTTTCATTTCTTGTTCACCCACCATGATAAAAAAACTTAGGTGTCAGTACAGCATATAGGTTCAAAGTGTAGTATCTGAAAGCACACAGGTTCATATTCTAATTCTGCCTTCAACTCTTCATAGATAGGAGTATGATCATTGACAAGCCACCTTCTCTATCTGTATTTCCTTATCTGTAAAATGGGAAAATAATAATAGAATCTACAAATGTCATTACGAATAATAGAATCTACAAATGTCTTTGGTCACTAATGCTAGTTACCATATTTTCATCTGTGATTTATGAATGGACATCTAGCTATATGGGTCCCAGACAGTTGTTGGGCTGAAAAAATAGTTTGAGGACAGGAATATTAAATGGCAAACTGTGTTGTCCATTAAAAAATAAGAATAATCTGATTGCATAGATGGAATAAAATTTATATGTATTTTAATACAATCCTCCAATGTTACAGATGGGAAAATTGGAGTTCAAAAAGGTAAAATAAATTTTTCAAAGTTCACACATCTAGTGGAAGAACTTTTCTAGCAGGTTATATTGTTGCTTTTGTTTCATAAGCAGTTTCTGAAAGTGCTAATTCTTCTTTTCACAAATATCCCTCCACCCTCTAATCACAAAAAGCAGGTTCTGAAGACCCCCATCTACTCACTTTCCCCATTTTTAGCTATCTCTCTATTGGCCAAAATACTGGCAGCTTGTAAAGCACAAGCTGAGCCTTGGGATTTACTCCAGTTTTAAATTATTTCAAAAATTATCATTCAAAATGAAGGGTTTTTTGTCCTATGAAACATTTTAACTATGAGTGAAAAATCTAGTTCAGCTCATCTCAATAAATATTTGAGTGTTAGTTTTGGTTCTGGCACCATATGCTAGACGTTGGGCAGAAGAAGGTGGGACAAACAGCATGAACTGCCATTTTAGGCTATCAGAACTTTAATTTTAAAGTTCAAGTTTCACATATTACCTTGAGAATTCTCTTTTCTTTTGAAGTTTAAGTTAATATTGCCAAAAGGTAATTTTGTTCCAAGATGGGAGATTGGAGGCAGCATTAGCATGCCTCTCCCACTTAGAAAGACAAAATAAAGTGTAGAGATTTACACTGTGAGCTTTTTTCCTTGAAGCAATGCAGAAACATAACAGGAAAATGGAAAGAAAACACAGAAACTGTGAAAGAAGCATCAGGCTGCAGCCTATACCATGAGCCAGGTGAAAAATTGTAAATCCCCAGAGATGGGGAGGAACTGCCTCCAGGATATCCACCCCCACTGGGGAACCTGACCATCCAGGCCATGGGGGAAAGCCTTAACTCTATTCAGCAGTGGAGTTGATTTAGGGAGCAGGAGTGCGAAGACCCTTGTGGGCATTCCCAGTCTCCAGCATGGACTCAGGGAAGCCATCCCTGATTCTATCTCACAGGAAACCTCATGGAATTCTGCTAGCTAATTCAGGCAGCAGTAGCAGGTTGAGAGGAGCTCCCAACTGAAACTGGGAAATGAGTGGGAAACGTGCTGCAACCACAAGCACAGGAGCTGGGATCCCCAGCCATGTGGGCAGATAGGGAGAGGCGTGGCCTGAAAGCTATGGTTGCTGTCTCCCATGGGGAAGGCTTATAGCCTGGGGCAGTTTTCAGTTCTGAGCATAGACTGCCCGGAACTAAGGCACTGAGGGTGTGAGACCTGCCTTGCCAAGTATGTGGGAGCTGGGTGGGGTTTACTGCTGCCTGCTGTTTCCCAGTGCCTGCATAAACTCTTTTGGGCAGCAAAGGCAGCTACACTTCTCCCTGGAACATTACCCCAGTGGCCAGAGACCTGACCCCCCGTAACTCCCAAGGAGCCACTGCTTTCTATGCCCATGGAGAACCAGAGCACAGACCTACCTGACCCAGCCCTCACTTGGCTTTGCCCCTCTATCTGCCATAGTAGCTTAATACAAAAGATAAAAACTTTTAGGAGGCTCTGTAGCCCCACTTATCACCTAAGAACCCAGAGTAACTTCCTGGGTAACATAAGGCAAGCACAAATCTCACCACTACTGTCAGAGCTAGGACTCCTTTGCAAGCACCACCTCCTGGCTGGAGGCCAACTGACACAATCCATTACAACATTTCCAGGTAGAATAACATGACACCCAGGAAGGAGAAAACTTGTGTATAACCTCACCTATCACCATTGCTTGCACCAGCCTGGTTAACCAGAAGGTCCTGAGTCTCTCCATGTGAGTAGATCATTACTACTACAACCAGAATTTGTGAAAGTCAACATGCTAAGGCTACTTATAACCAAGGAACCTCACAGAGTATATGTCACTCCCCTGGCACCCCCATCAGAGCTGGTATTGGTACACACTGCTGGGATACTTGAGGACAGGTCACTTCAAGATTCCTTGCAGACATTCCCCAGCACCAGCTTGGAGTGTGGCAGCCCCACTGGGCAGCTAGACTCAGAGGAGCAGCAGTATTCACAGTAATCTGGCACTAAGGGACTCCTAATCATAGGGGAAGAGGGAGTGTACCACATCAAGAGACTACTCTGTGGGACAAAAGAATCCAGAAGGCAGGCTTGAGTCCCAGATCTTTTTTCTGGTGGGAAGTTTCTTTCAGCAGAGGCAAGTTCCAGTGCTGGGCTCAGCAAGGAAATTCTGCAGCTCTACCCCAGCAGTCAGGCAGCCCTGGTCCTTGTAAAGGGCCTTGGAGAAGGGGATTTCTTTTCCCCCTCATCCACCACTGCAGACATAGCTGGGACTTCTCCCATGAGAGCTCATGATGATTACTAAGCTATTCCAGGAGATACCAGAGAAAGGTGAAAACCAACATAAAGAATTTAAAAAAAATACAATTCAGGATATGCATGAAAAATTTTCTAAAGAGATGGCCATTTTAAAGAAAAATCAATCTGAACTTCTGGAAATAAAGACACATTTTGGGATTTACAAAATGCAGTGGAGAGTTTTAATGGACTAAAACAAGTGGAAGAAAGAATTTCAGAGCTTGAAGACAAGGTTTTCAAATTAACACAGTCCAACAAAAATAAAAAAAGAATAAACAGAAATGAATAGTCTCCAAGCAATATACGATTATGTAAAATGACCAAACCTAAGACTAGTTGGTGTTCCTGAGGAAGAAGAAAAAGAAAAAAGTTCAAAAAACATATTTGAGGATGTAATTGAGGAAAACTTCCCTGGCCTTGCTGGAGGTTTAGATATCCAAATACAAGAAGCTCAAATAACTCCTATGACATACATTGCGATAAGGATGTCATTAAGCCATATAGTCATCAAGCTACCTAAAGTCAACATGAAGGAAAGAATTATAAGAGCAATGAGACAAAAGCATCAGATAACCTAAATAGGAAAACCTATCAGACTAACAGTAGACTTCTTAACAGAAACTTTATAAGCCAGAAGGAACTGGGGTTCTATCTTTAGCCTCCTTAAACAGAATAACTGCCAGTCAAAAATTTTGTATCCAGCAAAACAAAGTTTCATACATGATGGAGAAATGAAGTCATTTTCAGACAAACAAGTGATGAGGGAATTTGTCACTGCCAGATGAGCCCTACAAGAAATGCTAAAAGGAATTCTAAATCTTGAAACAAAAGGTTGATATGCATCAGAATAGAGCCTCTTGAAAGCATAAAACTTACAGAGCCAATGAAATAATAACACAATAAAGAAAACAAAGTATCTAGGTAAAAATTAACACAATGCTTGGAACAGTGCCTCACACCTCAATATTAACATTAAACACAAATGGCCTAAATGCTCCACTTAAAAGCTACAGATTGGCAGAGTGGATGAAAAATTATAAACCAATTATCTGCTGTTTTCAAGAGATTCATTTAACATGTAAGGATTCATATAAACTCAAGGTAAAAGCATAGAATATCTTGGAAACCAAAACGATCAGGAGTACCTATTCTTAGATAAAACAGAGTTTAAAGCAACAACAGTAAAAATAATAATAATAATACAAGGAATGTTATTATATAATGAGAAAATGATCAATCCAACAAGAGTATGTTACAATCCAAAATTTACATGCACCTAACACTGGAGCTCCCAGATTTATAAAGTAATTACTACTAGACCTAAGAAATGAGATAGCAACACAATAATAGTGGGGGACTTCAATACTCCACTAAAAGCATTAGACAGATCATTGAGAGAAAGTCAACAAAGAAATAATGGACTTACACTACACTCTAGAACAAATAGACCTAACAGATATTTACAAAACATTCTACCAAAGAACTGAAGAATATACATTATTCTCATCAGCACATAGAACATTCTTCAAGATAGACCAAGGATAGGCCACAAAACAAGTTTTAATAAATGTTAAAAAAAAATCAAAATCATGTCAAGTATCTGCTTAGACCACAGTGAAATAAAACTAGAAATCAACTCCAAAAGGAACTTTTGAAACTATACAAATACATGGAAAGCAAATAATCTGCTTCTGGATGATTTGAGGTTTAACAATGACATTGAGATGAAAATTTAAAAAATTGACAATAGTGATACAACTTATCAAAACCTCTGGGATACAGCAAGAGCAACATTAAGAGGAAAGTGTATAGCACTAAAGGCCTATATTAAAAAGTCTGAAAGATAAAAAATTGGCAACCTAATGTTACACCTCATGAAACTAGAGGAACAAACTAAACCAAAGCTAGCAGAAGAAAAGAAATAACAAAGATGAGAAGACAGCTATCTGAAATTGAAAAAAATACAAAAATCAGTGAAACAAAAAGTCGATTATTTGAAAAGATAAACAAAATGGATTGACCATTAGCTAGATTAACAAAGAAAAAAGGAGAGAGAAGATTCAAATAAACTTAATTAGAAATGAAGCTTACAACCAATACCACAAAAATAAAAAGATTATTCAAGACTATTATGAACACATCTATGCACACAAACTAGAAAACTTAGAAGAAATGGAAATTCCCGGAAACATATAACCCTCCTAGATTAAATCAGGAAGAAATAGAAACCCTGAACATACCAATAACAAGCAGTAAGATCCAATCAGTAATTAAAAAAAAACAAAAACTGCCAACCAAAAAAGCCAAGGGCCAGATGAATTCACAGCTGAATTCTACCTGACATTCAAAGAAGAATTGGTACCAATATTGCTGAAACTATTCCAGAAGATTGAGAAGGACAGAATCCTCTCTAATTCATTCTATGAAGCCAGTATTACTCTGATGCCAAAATCAGGAAAGGGCTTAATAGAAAAAGAAAGCTGTAGGCCAATATCCCTAATAAATATAGAGGCAAAAATCTTCAACAAAATACTAGCTAATCCAATCAAACAGCATCTCAAAAAGATAATAGAGTATGATTAAGTGCATTGCATTTCAGAGATGCAGGGATGGTTTAACATATGCAAGTCAATAAATGTGTCTATGATACATGAAATAAACAGAATTAAAAACAAAACCATATGATCATCCCAATAGACACAAAAAAAGCATTCAGTAAAACCCAGAATCTTTTTATAATAAAACTTCTCAATAAACTAGGAACAGAAGGGACTTAAAATAATAAAAGCCATATATGACAAACCCACAGACAAAATCATACTGAATGGAAAAGTTTAAAGCATTCCCCCTGAGAACTGGAACAACACAAGGATGCCCACTTTTATCATTTCTATTCAACATAGTGCTGGAAGTCCTAGCCAGAGCAATTAGGCAAAAGAAGGAAATAAAGAGCAACCAAACCGGAAAAGAGAAACTCAAACTATCACTACCCACCAATGATATGATTGTATACCTGGAAAATCCTAAAGAATGCTCCAAAATACCCCTAGATTTGATAAACAAATTCAGTAAAGTCTTGGGTTACAAAATCAATGTATCACTAGCACTGCTAGTCACCAACAATAACCAAGCTGAGAATCAAATCAAGAACTCAATCCCTTTTACAACAGATACAAAAAAATAAACAAAATAACTAGGAATATACTTAATCAAGGAGATGAAAGAGCTCTACAAAGAGAACTACAAAGCACTACTAAAACTTAATTTGTGCGGCAGCAACAGAAAAAAGAAAACACTACTAAAAGAAATTGTACAAGAGACAAACAAATGAAACATATCCCATGTTCAGGAATTGAAAGAATATCATGAAAATAACTTTACCAACAAAAGCAATTTACAAATTCAATGCAACTCCTATCAAAATACCATCATCATTTTACACAGAAATGGAAAAATAGGCAATCCTAAAATTTATATGGAACCAAAAAAGAGCCCCAAGTAGCCAAATCAATGAAAGCAAAAAGAAGAAATTTGGAGGCATCACATTAACTGGACTTCAAATTATACTACAAGGCTACAGTTACTAGAACAGCATGGTACTGGTATAAAAATAGACACATAGGCCAATGGAACAAAAACCAAAACCATATGATCATCTCAATAGACACAGAACAAATATTCAATAAAATGAAACAGATTAGAGAACCTAGAAATAAAGCCAAATATTTACCAACAACTGATCTTCAACAAAGTATACAAAAACAAAAATTGGGAAAAAAGACCCTATTTAATAAATGGTACTGGGAAAACTGGATAGCCACATGTAGAAGAATGAAACTGGATCCCTATATCTTACCTTACACAAAAATCAACTCAACATAGATTTAAGACTTAAATCTAAAACCCGAAACCATAAAAATCCTAGAAGATAACCTCGGAAAAACTCTTCTGGAAGTTGGCCTAGGCAAAGAATTTGTGACTAAGACCCCAAAAACAAAAGCAACTAAAACAAAAATAAACAAATGGGACCTAATTAAACTAAAAAGCTTCTGTACCGCAAAAGAAATAATCATCAGAGTAAACAGAAAACCCACAGAATGCAAGAAAATATTTGCAAACTTTGCATTTGACAATGGACTAACATCCAGAATCTACAAGGAACTCAAAAAAATCACAAGAAAGAAACAAATAACCCCATCAAAACATAGGCAAATGACATGAATAGACATTTCTAGAAAGAAAATGTACAAATAGCCAAAATCTATACGAAAGAATGCTGAATATCACTCATCATCAGGGAAATGCAAATTAAAATCACAATGAGGTACCATCTTACTCCTGCAAGAATGGCCATTATTAAAAAGTTAAAAAACAATAGATGTTGGCATGGATGTGGTGAAAAGGGAACACTTATAGATTGCTGGTGGGAATGTAAATTAGTACGACCTCTATGGAAAACAGTATGGAGATTTCTTAAAAAACTAAAAGTAGATCTATCACTCAATTCAGCAATCCCACTATTGAGTACCTACCCAAAGGAAAAGAAGTCACTATATTAAAAAGACACCTCCATATGTATGTTTATTGCAGAACAATTTACAATTGCATAGACATGGAACCAACCTAAATGCCCATCAAGCAATGAGTAAATAAAGAAAATGTGGTATATATAAACAATGGAATACTACCCAGCCATAAAAATATATGAAATAGGCTGGGCGTGGTGGCTCATGCCTGTAATCCCAGAACTTTGGGAGGTCGAGGCGGATGGATCATGAAGTCAGGAGATGAGACCATCCTAGCTAACATGGTGGAACCCCATCTCTACTAAAAACACACAAAAAAATTAGCCGGGCGTGGTGGCGGGTGCCTGTAGTCCCAGCTACTCGGGAGGCTGAGGCAGGAGAATGGCGTGAACCGAGGAGGCGGAGCTTGCAGTGAGCCAGGATCGTGTCACTGCACTCCAGCCTGGGCGACAGAGTGAGACTCCGTCTCAACAAAAGAAATAATGTCTTTTGCAGCAACATGAATAGAGCTGATGGCCATTATTCTAAGTGAAGAAAACTAAATACTGTATGTTCATACTTATAAGTGAGAGCTAAACTAGGGGTACACAAAGACATACAGAGTGGTATGGAGACTCATAAAGGGAGTTTCATGAGGGATAAAAATCAAAATATTGGGTACAATGTA
Source organism: Homo sapiens (assembly GCF_000001405.40). NCBI lineage: Eukaryota > Metazoa > Chordata > Mammalia > Primates > Hominidae > Homo > Homo sapiens. Next base: position 116,945,632 of record NC_000003.12, read on the forward strand.
CACTACCTGGGTGACAGGTGCACTAAAATCTCAGACTTCACCACTATATAATTCATCCATATAACCAAAAACCACTTGTACCCCAACAGCTATTGAAATAAAAAAATTAAAAATAACTTTAGTGTAACCTAAAAACATACCAAAAGAATCACTTACTGCTTCAATATCAATATATTCCTTTGTCCAATTATAAGAAGAAATAATGAAGTAAAACTTCAGTAATTTAGGTTTTCCTTGTTTCTAGGAGCTCCTTTTGGGACCATCAGTTATTCATAAATTTAAGCCTTTCCTTTCTACATCATTTTTTTTTTTCTCTTCAAATACAATCCTTGGCTGGGTGTGGTGGCTCACGCTTGTAATCCCAGCACTTTGGGAGGTGGAGGAAGGAGGACTGCTTGAGCCCAGGAGTTTGGGAGGAACCTGTGCAACACGGCGAGACCCCATCTCTAATTAAAAAAAAATTTAAAAATTCTTCCATTGAATATTAACCAAGGTTGTAAGACAATGTCTCCACTTGTGCAAGCTATGGGAAACACACAAACACAATCATGCACACATACTTTAAAGCATATTATTAATTTTTATCTCAGAATGAATATTGTAATAATATAATTTACACCACTTTTAGTTTTTACATATTTCATGCTATTATAAGAACTGCGTATGCATTATCCTGTGTAATCTTACAGATAAACAGGGATTATTGTTCCCATCTTACAGACTAGGCAACTGAGGATTAGGTTATATAAACTTGCCCAAAGTCATGTGGGTATACAGGTAGGACTACAATTTGAACCCAGGGATGCCTGACCAAGTATTAAGCATTTTTCTAGTTTCCAGGAGTTTTTTTTTCACAAAGTAAGTGTCCAAAAGATCCTTGTTGAACCGCTGAATGCTGAAGCAGAAGAAAAGCAACAAAAATGTTATATTGTGAAATAAACTCCTAGAAAAGCTTAGCAACCAGACTTTGAAAGAGCTATTACAACAGAATCCCTTGTGATTAGGCCTATATAGGTTTGTGAAAGACCCTGAAGCAGCTTTGCAGAAACTGCACCAAACATGCAGCAGTGAATTCTGAAGAGGTTTTGAACACATTTTTATTGCCACAGAAAAGGAAATGGAATTTTTAGTCTTAATTCATCTAATAAAGCACTCCAAGTTTTTGCTCTACAGAGACTTTAGGGGGAAAGAAGAATAATAAAAGTGTCACAGATGCCACCTGTACAAAACTTCTAGGCTTTGACCAAAATGTAATGCCATTGTTTAGTAAGAGGCACTGGGGTACCAAATTCCAAGGACTATGTGTACAATTCTCTCAAGCTAGTTTATGCTTTCAAAAGACATCTGGATCACGATTTTAGTATTCCTATCACCATCACTAGCTTAACACACACATGCACTTCTACCTGGAAATTTTCAAAACTATATAAATAAATGTACTGTTAGTCCTGTACCTTTGCTCTTCAACGTGTGTTCCATAGACCAGCAGTATTCACATCATCTGGGAGATTGTGAGAAACGCAGATTCTCAGGCCTTGCCCCCAAACTACTGAATCAGAATCCGCATTTTAACATGAGCCCCCAGTAATTCATGTGGACAGTCAAGCTTGGGAAACACTGGTCTGTAGAAGGATCTGACAAAGGCTTTTCCTGCAGGTGCTAAAGCACAGAGTAATGAGCTGCCAAGAGGAACATCTACAGTCATTTCAGCCATGTGTTGATTTCACTAATGGTCAGCAAATCAGTTTCATGTGAGACTGAACCAGGGTCCCACAACCTTCTTTCACGCACTGTGACAATGCAGTGCCCAAGCAAACTTTGGGTATTCAGTTATGGTGGGTTCACTTATAGTGCATAAGTCCTTGATTTGCATCATTAAAACACACCCATTGCATTCTTTAAGATTCCTACCTTCTCTAGGAAGATATTTCTGTCCCATTCTAAAGACTTCACATATGTGCATCAAAGTACTAATTGATTTAAGTCGTAGTGCTGCATTTTGCTTATATAAATTGCCTTGTATTTATCTCCTCAACTTGATTAGATCCTTTGAAATCGGGCTTTGTAATCTACCATTGTTTAAAAGGGAGAGGGGAGGGCTGGAGAAAAATAACTATTAGAGGGAATTTAGAATAAAGTCTACTTTGGCCTTCATTTCTTATTTTGTGTTTTTAATTTTTTCCTGAAGAAAAACTATGCTTGGATTTCCCCTAATTACATGAGGATTCCAAACCTTTGTTCCTGATGGAAAATCAAACTGTGGGAGCTGGAGTCATATTTGAAAATGAAAAATAAGCAAATCCTGCTCCACTGTGAGTGGGAGCTGGTCCAGCAGATTTGCAATCAGTCCTCATCTCAGGACTTCAGTCAGGTTTGTGAACGCTACCACAGCTGTGCAAATCTTGGGGTAGAGAAGGAAGGACTAAGCACTTTCTGTTTGCCTCCTGTGGCTTTTGTTTCATTTAGGTTCCTACCCTATAAGCTTCACTTCGCAACGCCAAGGGTAGGGAAAAGACATTCAAAGTGGAATTTGCTCAGAACCACAGCATTTCTCCTCATTTTTAGGTCACAACTGAAATTGGGTTTTAATGTGAAATTTGCCTTAGGCTCAGCAGATGGTTCTCAAAAATCACAAGCAACAGTTTGCCTTCTGTACACTGATGTGGTTATAACTAAGTATAAAATTTCAAGGGGACACATGTTGTGTCCTAACCTGCCCTTTCTCTCTGTCTCTTGTTCCCCTCATTTTTTTTTCTATTTATATTATTTGGTGCTGCAACATACTTCGCTGCATTCAGCCCATACCAATCATACGTGATTATGACAGGTGAGTGTGGTTGGAAGAAAAGAGGGAAACATCTATGCTATACTTAGTGGGCTCAGATCATATGCTGATTTTTCTCTTTCTTTAAAAATAAATTTCCTTTAAAATTTGGTGTGAAAAGGTAAGTAAACTGTATAGTGGATTTATTTACTTGAGTGACGTTCCTGATAATTCTCATCTTTAAATCTTCTGTAGCTGTGCTCCCAACCTTTCTGGACATCAATATTAATGTTCTGGGCTCCTGGCAGTAGCTAGTAGAGGTGGCATTTCATAATTCAGATGTAAAAATTAAAAGCCAAGTGCTAGAGGGGGTATACAGTAGCAGAGTACATCCATCCAACTGCTGATTGAAAGCCCTTCAGAAAGTCAGCCTCTCCCAGCCCTCCCTTAGCAAGGAAATGCAACATTACCAGGTAAATAATGGTGGCCCCCAAATTCACTCTCCTTCCTTATTTGAAAAAAAAAGTAACTAAAAAGGGCATAGTAAGTTTCCAGAAATATTTCAGAGCTGTAATGACTCAAACTCTGAGAATCTTCAATCAGATCTTCAATCGTTACACATGGGGATAGGGCTTTGACAAATTCTACCTGAAAACAAAGTTTGACTAACAGATGTATGAGATTGTGTGCTTTAGGCAGCAGGGAGTTAACTTCACCAGATAGTCCAGCAGTTTGCCTCTGATTCCCATTGGTAGATAACCCCACGGAGAAAAAGTCTCACAATCCCCCTCACTCGTCATCTGTGCTAAGGTCTTAAAGCTTTTGTGAAAAATCTGTCCATTAATGTTATATGTTGTAGGGAACCCAGATCCTCAATTCTCTGCAGAGAGAAAGACTACCTTGTCATTATTCTTTTCATATTATTCTTTTCTTCCTTCAAAATGAAGTAGACACTTGTGTTTGAGAGATGCAGGAACTTGGAGAGAGTATAAGAATAATTTTAACTAATTAAAATGAAAACAAATGCTTATTAAATAAAAATAATTTAAAAAGACAATCCATTAGAAATTCAACACTGAGTCTACACAGTGAAAGAAAGAAAACCACACCCAATGTTATCAGCATGTCTTATTAGAGTTACTGCCTTTCACCAGTGATCTGATGTTATTTTAGGGTGGAAACAAAATTAAAAGAAAGTAGGAAAAAAGTATTCTGTCATTAACTTCCTTATTTTTCCTAGCATTTTTTGTCTGTTGCTTGTTTGGATGTTACAGTTGTTTTATTTTAATATTTGGTTGCCTCTTTTAAAGATGAGAAAGTGGCCTTTTGTTAGTTCTAGACAAGATTCTATTTCTTGGCCACTTCTTGACATGATTTAAGATGAAAGTCTTAAGTCTCCTTCAAAAACATAGTTGCTTTCTACAGAGACTTTTGGCTAATGGCTACATCCAGATATTTATTAGAGAACTGATTGTGTGAGGAATTTTCCATAGTTACTTAAAAACCTTTATTTTAAATGAGGCTTTTTTTTTTTTTTTTTTTGCTAAAAAAGGATATGCCATAACAAGTGTTCTACAATGTTTTTTTCATTACTCCTAAAAATAGGTAAGCACCTCTTGCTTGCTATTCACTTGATTCTGGTAATTTCTGTCCTAATCATTGCTAAAGTGATTTTTCTAAAGAACCAAAGCATGAGTTGCTTTTTGTCTTTGTCTTCTGTTTTATTTTCTTTTTAAAAATGTTGCAAATATGGTTTTATTTCCTATAACTCCAAGGCCTTAAGCAACTTGTTTGTGAGGCCAAATGATTTATGCGGGACAGTATACAGACAAATTTTCATAAGTTACAATAATTCCAAAGCTTGAAAAAAAATAAAATGTAAAAGAAAGATGTAAACAGCCTGCTCATTAGCCTGTTTCACGTCTGAATGGAGACTGTCATTACATTTTAGTTGCAAAATATTTTGCAGGACAGGTCTCTCAGTTAAGAAAACAAACACTTCCTAACCTGTCTTTTAAGCCTCTCGTGAGTAAGAATCCAGGGACTAGGAAGCTTATAATCACTGCAGGCAGTGTTTGTGCTAACCAAAGTATGGCAAGGAGGCCAATTCAGTGAAGCACTGCAAATATTTGTGTGGCTCAAAGAAGCAAGGGAATGTCCCTGGTTGGGGGCAGGTCTGTAAAAGAAGGTGGACAAAAGACCATACAAAGCTTAGGGAAATAAAATGGAAGACGAGTAGGTGAAAGGGGAGACACGAAAAGTTTGAATTCCAACTTGGATTTAGATTTTATGTGAAGACAGTTCAATACGCATTCAGAGATGAAACCCTTTCATATTTTTTGCAAAGGACAATAAAATAACTTTAGACTTCAAACACCCCGAGAGATGATCCTACTCATGTCAGATCTGGCCTCCTTCCACCACTTACCCTGTCCTATCTGATGTAGCTTCATAGTCTTCAAGCACCACAACAGATTGCTCACCACCCACATACGCTTCCATATGTGAAGGCAGAGAAGAGAAACTTTGGTGACTTTTGTAGAAATGAAGACAAGAATAAAACAATAAGGCTATGCTTACTGGGATTATGCTTACTGAGATTAATCTGTATAGCTATATAGTTTATTTTTTATTCATTTGATTTTTTTTGAGTGTGATGCTTTTAAATAATAAAATATGCAATTCACATTATTTTGATTAGTTCAATAAAATTTGCCCTGATTTTAGAGTAAGTATCAATATGGAATCTAAAGGGCAGTATCTAGTTCTTATTTGGCTCCAGTGAGCATGTTTGTCTTCCACAATGAAATAAGGCAATGGTAATGTACTGGTCTCCTGAGTTCACTTGTTTAAATAATTTCCCCTCACCTTCCCATGCAAGGCATCAAAGAGCACAACAGGCAGCTGCCACTTTGGGGACCTTTTTAGTATTGCTGCCATTTCTCTTCAGTATGCACAGCCATCTTTCCCTCGACCTCCTGAAGGGGCACTCAATGTTATTACAGTCCTGCCACAATAGTAGTCAAAGTGTTTGCTGTGGTTCAGTGAAATTTGGGGACATTTCATCATCCATGTAAATATCAGGGAGACTGGCAAAAACATGCCATAGATTTCTTGGCTGTAAAAGATTAAATAAAAGTAGACTCCGGTGATACAGCTGGCTTTCCAAAATAATGTGGACTATGTTCTCTGCCAAACAGTCTGATTTCAAGGTCCATAAAGAAATGTATCCGAATTTGCATTATAGCCCTGTGGAAACAGCTTGGGGTGCTAGAAGGAGAGTGTGTTAGGTCAGAGAATAAGTAAGCAACAATTGGCTTACCAAAATACAAGTCTTTCCCCATGGTCAGGATAATGTAGAATAAGTTTTCCTTGTGATAAAGTACTAGATGTGCTTTCACTGTTGTTTGGCATAATTGTAATTCCAAGCATGCCTCAAGTCAAAATAGAACATTGTAAGTTCTTCAAAAATTATGCAGTAACTCCGAGCAGGCAGGCTGTTGAGTATTAGAGTTCTAGAGCCAGGAAGACTTGACCTCAAGTCCCAGCCTTAACATTTACAAACTTGATGACGCCAGACAAGTTAATAGACCTCTCTTGGTGTCAGTTTTCTCTTATATAAATGGAAATAATTGTAATTCCTGTCAACGTTGTGAGGATCAAGTAATATCATGCCTAACACATTTCATGGTTCTTTGACATTTAGTAATTGCTGAGATAAACAGTAGCAGGAATTAGCTAGAAAATGTCTAGTATTTAGCTGAAATCCCTAAAAGCTATAGCTAAAAATCTGCCTTAAGCCCTATTACTTTACTTCAATATTGAACAAATAATGAAGGGGCAGAAAACCATGTCAGTGATAATTATCTTAAAAAGATATTTGTTCATCTTTGAACTTGATACTTGATGATTTTCACCATAGAACAATGAATTCACTTCAACCGTCTATCCAACAAAGCTGTACTGAGAACTTCCTGTTTACAAGACAAACCAATAGGATCCCTGTCCTGTGTGTTCCATGCTTAGTGTCTGACATATCACATACGAAACAGAATCCACATCCAGAAAAATCTCCATGTGCACTAGACTAAAGCTATCTAAAAGCAGTCATTTCATTTTGATTCCTAGGATGTCCAGGAAATAAAATATGTGTATTTTCATGAAATGAATGACCTTGGAAATATCAAGTATTTCCAGTGATAAAATAGACATTTATATGAGTCAAATGATAAAGGTCATGTAACAGTAAATCTTACACAACATTCTCTGTTTACTATAGTTTGAAGAACTCTGCAAAAGGTAGAATCATTAATACAGTAATTTTTACACTGGGCTTTCTGGAGCACTAGAATTTCAATAGGGGGTGACTTGGGAATTGGAGTTGAGCAAGTGAGGCTCTGGGTCCCTTATCCCCACATCATTCAAAGCAGCTCATCCTCATAAGTGTTTTATATACTAGGTTCCATTTTTTTTCTTTTAAAAAAGAGTTCAGCTGCTTAAAAAAATAAAAAATAAAGTTTGAAAACCACATAAAGAAAGTTCAATTCCGTGACTTTTTTTTAACTTTTTCAAAGCCTACCTGTCACACAAAATTTACAACAGCTTAAAATTTCAGCATTGTGTCAAAGCCTGCTCTGAAGTTAACATTAAAGCCTAACCACTGTATAACATTCATCTTGTCTCCTTGTTCTGCCCAGGAATCTTTGTATTTACATATTCTGGATGAGGGCAAGGAACTGTCCATCTTACAGAGGCATGCACTGTACTTGAAAACAAATCCACTAACCACATTAGTGTGTGTGTGTGTTTACACCATTGAAAGAAAGAGAGTGAAATGCAGATATAAAACATTATATCTATTTTTAAAGGTTTATTTTTTGCTTCAAATTTTTTAGCTTAATTAGATCTTCATAATGACTTTATAAAAAATACCTATAAATACCTATAAAAATCCCTAATACTGTTGTGAAGATATAAGCACAAGTTCTTCATTACCTCTCTCTAGGCTTTATTCATTCATTCACTCATTATCCACAAAATAACCTTTGCAGAGTTCCCATCACATTCCAGAGACTGTGGAATAAAGAAATGAATAGGCAACATGTAGAAATAGATAGAGCACAGGTTTTGGGGTAAGACCAGTCATCGTGGGAGTCTCATTTCAGCAATTATAAATTATGTGCACTTGAATATGTGACTTATTCTCACCAAATTTGTTTCCTCATCTGAAATAGGGCTTCAGAATACTGTCCTCATAGAGTTTTGATGATTAGATGTAGAAATTTATGTTCAGTAATGTATGTCCATTACTTAGCACAAAATAATAACTAGTAAGGATTATTTGTTCTTTGAAAGGCAGTTTAAGGCCATGAAATACAAACACATCTCTGCTCCAACCCATGAAGGAATACCCAGGTGGCAGTGAATTTGTGAAACTACATATTTGGAAAAAGGCCTTAAAGCAGTCTCCATTGCTTTCAACTTCTTAGGGAAAATTGTGCTGTCTCCAAGCACTTAGTAAATTAATAAAACTCTAACTTGGTTTAGAAACATACTTAGTATAAATTGGCCTTTATTATGGAAACGAGTGCCACGTGAACCCAGGTGTAAAGCAGAGACGGTTCCAAAATGCTCTACAAACATGCTTTCTAAAAGTGATAATATGAAAGATTAATCTAAATTGATACTTTTCCCGGTACAGGAGCAATTCCCTGGGAGCGACTTAGGAGATTTAGGCCATCATCATCAGGATAAGAGCTAACACACTGAAGCAATAATGGCTAAATGGTACCCTGAGTTATTAATGCAATTTCTAAAAGGGCCTAGCTCATTATGAGGATATGGCTATCAAACAAGGGAAATTTGGCTCCATAATACTTTGCACATATTGCATATTTTTAACGTTTGGGGCCCAAAAAGCTGTGAATGCATTTGGCTTAGTGTTTGGGCTTGTCTGGTATTTGTTTTCTATTGCTGCAACTTCTATTCTGCTAACTAGTTACCAGAAACTTAGTAGCTTAAAACAATACATATTATCTTAGAGTTCTGTAGGAAAGAAATCTAATATGGGGCATCACTGTGCTAAACTCAAGGTGTTGACTGAGCTACATTTCCTTCTGGAAACTCTGGGGGAGAATGTTGTCCTCCTTTCTTGGCTCTTGCCTCCTTGCTGCACCTTCAAGACCAGCGATGTTGCCTATCTCTGGTCCTTCTTCCTCTGTCACATTTTTCTCTGACTGCATCCAGAAAAAATTTTCTACTTTTAGAGATGCATGTAATCAGATCAGGCCTACCAGTATAACCCAGGGGGGTTTGAACCATAATCACATCTGCAAAATCTCTTTTGCCATCTAAGGTAACATGTTTATGGATTCTGGGACATAGGACATGCACGTCTTTGGAGGGTCATTGTTCTGCCTACCACATGTGGCACTGGGGAAATTGGGTTATTATAGAGAGTATTAAATGACATACGGCTACAGGCCTTCTGAATGTCCCATTGTGTACATCCCTTAAGGAAGATGTGAACTTTTCAGAAAGCTCTCCCACTCGGCATATCTTCTTAAATTTTCCTCCATCTGTAAATGAACCAGTTAGACTAAATGATCACTAGATACTCTTCTAGCTTCAAAGGCCGGGGTCACCTAAGTCTGTATAGACAAAACTTCATGCGCTGTTCCATGACAAATTTTGATGATTCAGATTTCAAGGCAAATTAAAGCCTCACAAAAAGCAAAATAGGAAAAAGAACAGAAGAAGTACTATTTAGATTACATGGATTACCCAGTCTTAGGTTCTACGTACCTGCCAGTCCCTACATGCAGTACTGTGTTCCCTTGGCACTGCCACTTTTTAAAGCAGCCATTGACACACTGGAATGAGTCTAGAGGATAGCAGTCAGGATTTTATTACCATCTCTTTGATTTGAGATATAGTGGAAGGAACAACAAAAGTTAACTGAGAGAACTGAAATTGGAAAATAGAATAAAGAAGGGGATGTGGTAACTTTCTTTAAATAATTGTGCTTATTGAAGAAAAGTGAATTTTATTCTGTGATGCTCTAGAGAGCCAAGGTTGGATCCGTGGGTGGAAGGCACAAGAAGGTTCAAAATAAAATGAAACTTTCAAATAGTAAGACTTGGAGCAAAATGAAAGCAGCTGTTTGTGGGATAGCCACAAATTAGACCATGTATGATTAGACCATGTGATGCTGGGCTAGAAATATTGAAGCAATTCCTCCACTGGTGCAAGCTTTATATAGTAGTCTTAAAGGCACTCCCTTACCACCAAATTGCTAGAAATTTTATGAATCTGATTACTATAGAGACATTATTTCCATTTCAATAAAAAGTAGATTAAGAAGATAATTATGCAAGATGTTTGATTGACATTATACATAAGAAAGCCATTTCTACTAAGCAAGGGTAGACAGATATGGAAATACACAAAGTTCCTGGAAGAAAGAGTTGGCATTACATCATTCTTAAGGAGGTAGACCACAGCCAAGATTTCTAAACTACATCAGTGGAGTCCTAGGGTCTTTCTGAGTGCATCTGGAGCCTCTAGGTATGGCAGAATGAGAAGGAGAAAGAAAAAAGTAGGGATGAACAGATGCAGAGGCGTTAGGGCCTACCATTCCCTCCATCCTGCCTTCAACCACAGAAGCTCCACTTCAGTGCTCCTCATAAAGTTCCCTCTGAAGAAAAAAAGAGAAAGCTCAAATACTTAAAAAAAAAAAAAAAAAAAAAAGGAGGGGTGGGAGGAATCTACTGGCATAGAGTAATAATGAGACACAAAAATAGAAAATTGGAAATGAAAGAAATGTAAAATCTTTTCCCATAGTTCAGAGCTTTATTTACTAGATGGGTAGTTTTTTAACTTGTATACGTTTCTACATATATCTATGTCTTGTCATGCCATCCTTGGGTACAGCTTTCTGGCATGGCATGGTGGAGATAGAAAACATGCATTTTTAACATTTAACTTGTAACCATACTGTATTTCAAGAAACTCCACAGACATGTCTTGTGGAAGCCTGAGGCTTCCTGAAACTTAGATAAAAACTTGCTGCTCCAGAAAATACTGCCTTTAGCTAAGTTCATTTTAGCAATTCCTACGCGAATGGTACTCAGTAACAACAAACTTTGGCAACTTTTCAAAATAAAAAGTTCACAAAAGAAAAATGACAAACTGTCAGGATGGGAAAATAAAACGTTAATCTTTTGAATAAATAAAGGACTCTAAGACATTGATTTTAAAAGGCTTACAACCCAATTTTTTAAAAATGGGCAAAGGCCACATACACAGGCAATTAATAAAAGGAAAACACAAATCACATTTCAATATGTGAAGATGCCAAATCTTACCTCCCTTAAGCCTATCAAATTGGCAAAATCCAAAAATGTGATAACAGTATCAGTGAATTTGTAGGAATAGACATTCTCATACATTCTTATATGCTCTTTTACTGAAGACTCTTTGATAATATCTATCAAAATTACAAATAAATATTCTTTGATGAAGTAATCTTAGAGAATGTATCCTACAGATATACATATATACACAAAAAGACTTATGTATAAGGTTACTCACTGCACTTATTTATAATAACACAAGACTGTAAACAAGCTAAATAGACTTGCTAAATACATATAATGTATATAATCCATTATATGTATTATAAATCCATATAATGAATAATATATGTACTATAAATCCATATAATGAAATGATATGTAGCTTAAAAATCAATGCAACAGCATTTCACCCACTGATATAAGATCTCCAGAAAATCTTTCAGATTAAAAAAAGAGATGCAAATCATTACGCAGAACATTCAATTTTTATGTAAAATGTATGAAATGATATGTATTCATGTTTGTTTTTATATGCATCAAGAAAATTTGAAAGTATACATACAAATGAATAAAAATGAGTATTCATGATTGAGTAGATGGTGGCAGGGATGGAGAAACAGTTATTTTATTGTATCACACTTTAAACCACATGAATCCATTACCTTTTCAAAAATAAAATTTTAAAAATAATTAAATTGACAACTTCTGACAAGCTGAGGAGATTAAGTAACTATTTACTTTTTAAAAGTAGCCTATTCTTTAAAACAAAAAAGGTTCAGACTAATGAGAATAAGATTGTATTAAAAATAATGAAAACATAAATTCATGTTGGTGAATGAGAAGTATATCATCCTCCCTAATTAATATGGATTAAGTGAGTAATTTTTAAATTCAATTCTGAATTTTCAGATAAGCATAAAAAAGGAAAAATATCAAGTTATATAATTCTTATGATCTGATAAAACACAGCCTACCATATTTTTCATAATGAATTAAAATTTCCATAACCTACTACATTTTCTAGAGACGGAAACAAAAACACAACTTTTATAAAATTTTAAGAAAGTTTTTCTTTATCTTTGAAATATGCAGTAATTTCAACAGTCTACAGATTATGCAGAAGCACGAGTCATATAAAATAAATATTAGCTATTTGTACTTCCCAAAATGGGCCATTTTAAGTAGTAAAAATAGCTAATATTTAATTAATTCTCACCATAAGCTAGGCAGTGTTAAGTGTGTTTCCTAAATGTGTGTGTTACCTGCACAGCAACCATAAGAGCCAGTCATTTAATATCCCCTTATACAAATGAGGAAACTGAGGCTTAACAGGTGACTTGATCAAATGTACACACCTTTTAAGTGAATAAGATGAAGGCAAGCCCACAGGAAGCCTCCAGAGGCAAGGCTATCCTAGCCACCACACAATGCTGACGCTACTCACCCAGCAATAAAAAAGTGGGCAGTATATTTATTGCATAACCTAAGAATGTCTGGATTAGAAGAAACAGAGGTTAAGGTGAGAAACTTTCTCATAAACCAGTATAAGCTTGGAATCTGAATTTTAACAGATTCTCTGTGTATTCTGAAATAGCTGGTGTAAAGTCTAATGTTGAGAATGGTTGCCTTAGACTTCCTTCTATGAACATATCACTCAACTGGAGTTCTGAAAGGAGCCAAATAGCAGTCACTTCAAGGACACATTGTCACAAGAGCCTGGTGTGCTGCTGCTATTTTCTGTTGTTGAGGAAAGAACGATCCATATGCTTTGGCTACCACACTCTCAGTTGGCAAGGTCAACATTCTATTTTTAAAAGTTTTGAAGGCTGACTTCATTCAGCTGGAGGGTCATCTCAACGACTGTTTTCCTCTGTTGACGTTGCACTGTGATAGATTTGTGCAGCATAGTGAAGACACAATCTTTGTCCTTGAGAAGGTAGAGCACTGTCAACATGGGCAGATGAGATTTACATACTTTGAAACAATTGAAGAACAACAAAAGACTGCATGATGAAGGGCCAGATTGTGTGGTATGGCTCAGTTAATTATGAGAACTCAGGGAAGGAATATGATGAAGCCTAGCGAGAGAAGGCTTTGCAAAGCTCAGTTAGCCCTGAATGTTAACAGAGGCAGAAGAAGATAACATTGAGGAAATAAAATAACTTCAGAAAAGGCTGAGAGACAAAAATGGTATTTTCAGAAAATTCAAGGAGTCAACAGAGTGTTCATATTAGTTTATTCATGCATTATTTTATTCTTGTTTTGGTAGTCCACTACTCGCATATACTCTTCTAAGAATCCAGAATACAAAGAGGAGTAAGATAGGATCCTTATTGTCTGAGATGAAGAGTTTAATTTTAGCTGGGATAGGATTTGTATATGTTGAAAATGGAGATGATGTTTATGGTAGAGGAATAATGGGAGCAAAGGCAGTAAAGCTCACAGAGCAGACAATGAATGGTGATTGTGGATTAAAATGCAAAAGGGGTCTGATAAAAGAAACTGCAGAAATGAGACTACATAGGTGTTTTGTTTCATGTTGTGAGGAGTCACAAATACCATAATTCAACATTATTATGAATATTAAGAAATATAATGAGGGCAAAGGAGAAATAGGGAATGTCAGTTGAAGTAATTTGGAAATAATCCTTGGAGTGTGGAAATAACTAAAGGAACAATATAAAAGCAACATTCTTAAAGATTAAACTAGAGAATGTAAGCACAAGGAACAAAATACAGGTTAGAGTGTAGCCTGGAAAGATGTCTAGGAGGCATCACAAAAAGCCAGGACTAATGTGGCAAGGAGACTAAAGTTAAAAGAATTGAGAAGAGATCCTTTGGGATGAATAATCTATGAGATTTGTGAGTGATTTGATAAACATTAAGAATTGAATTGACTCAAGTTCATTCCCAGGTACTCAAGTCTAGTTTTTATTCAACTTTCTGTGTCGGACAAAAATAAGGAAGTCTTTCGGGAAGTAAAATTGTGAGTTCAATCTTAAACATCAAGGGCACATGCACATGGGGTGAGATTCCATCTTCAGTGCTAATATTTGTCTATATCTGAATTAACTACCTATGAAAGCTACATCTCACACTTGCACTTAGTTTTCCATTTTCTAAATCTCATGGTTCACCAGACTACAATTTAATCTTTAAAGATAAAGTAAAATTGAAAGTGAAATTCTTTGTTATTTTGTTAATGTTCTAAACTACAGTGAGTCAAATCCAGGAGGGAGGTTTAAGTGGGTTGAATGAAAGAATCTCCAAAAGTGATCACAGCTAGAAGCATTTCTCAGGAAAGAGTAAAGACCTCACGGATGGTCCAACCATCTGTGCAAGGTCTGAAATAAGAAGCACATGTTAACTATTTAAAGTGCCTGGGAGTGTGATTCTTAATAACAAGACCAGGTGACTGCTAACAAGCCCAGGTGAGAAAAGTAAACAAGCTATGACTCAAACCCAGTCTACCTATTGAATTACGAACTTGCTTCCGAAGAACCAGACAGAGAGTCCTAAACCGGTCAAAAGCAAAGCAGGAATTTTAGACACTTTGAGACTACTTCACAATATAAATGCTGGTATCACAGTGAATTCCATTTTCCAAAGACTAGAGAAAGCACTATGGGCCAGAAAGTGCTGTTCCCTTCTCTTTCCAAGCCAGGACCCACAGGAGCCACTAGAAGTGAACGTAGAAAGTGAAACAAGTGGAAGAATAGCATTAATTTTCTGAGTTAATGAAGAACATTCAAAATCCCCATGGGTCCCGGCGATCATTCTGGTTCTAACACTGAGACAAGACAAAAGAACTTAAAGCTTAAGTCGGTGTAGTTTGGTCAGACAAAAGCTTCAGTGTAGATACAAGCTTGGCTTCCTGTGCCCAGGCCACCGCCAGCTAGTCTGGGGTAAACTTTAAAACTTAAAACAGCTGTTATCTGAAAATGTGTCTGTTTCTTTATGTTTGTCCTTTCACTTGGGGCTTTGTTTTGTTTTCCTTTTACTTTTCCAATAAACTTCCCCTTGAAAATGTTCCACCTTGTGATTAGAAAGCTGGAGGGCACAGGCAGGGTGGTGGCAGCTGCCATCTCAGCTGGATAACACTCCCTCCCCTTCTTTTTCCCTAGCAGCTGATGAGGCTGAGGCTGAAACAGACAAGAGGTGAAACCCCTGGAGGAGAGACAGACAGCTGTGATCACTGGTTTCTTTCTGCCTGAGGTGTTCTCTCACTGTAAGGCAACAGTACCTATTTAATGTTAGGTATAGTACATATAATATTTTGTGTTAAAGACTAAGAAACTGTGCAGTATCCACTGATAATTTCACTACTGATGAACTGAATACTGCACAGTTTCTTAGTTTTAACACAAAACAACTATTGCTTTTGAACTTGTTATTCAAATAATCTGCACCAAAAATAGTGATATTACATATAAACTACATATAAACGATATTGCTAGAATAATGTGTTCTAACATAACATTTTGCCTCAAGCAAATTGCATTCCAGCATATTTATTTCCAATTTCAAGTCACGCTGGGAAGGAATATACATCCCTGGGCACTCTATAACCCCAAGTACAACGCATACAGAGAAAACCCTGAAAGTAGTACTCAGTTTCTTCCATTCGTCTGTTGTGCATTGTTGTTATGTGCCTTTATGAAAATCAGAAGTAGCTAGATTTCAGTGTTAGCACAGAGATTATAGGTAAAGTTATTTCTGCATGTTGGTTGGATGGGGTTTTAGTTGAGCCAACTTTCCCCTGATCTCAATGCAAGTGTTGCCTGAGAGAAGGTGCTAGAATTAAGCCTCATAGTTTACAAACACTTGGACTGTTTTTTTAAAATCAAATATATTCACGTTCTATTTCAAACTGCTGTGACTCTTCCATGCACTAAACTATTATTGACTTTGGAGGTAATGCGGGACATGGAAAAGATGGGAAAAATCCGAAGCAAATTGAAGATCTAGCCAATATCAATATGCGTGAAAGAGCAAATGCTAAAGCCTTTTTTTTAAGAGCAGAGTCTAATGCATGTCTTGACTATTTGCTCCACTGAGAAATTGAATATTGAGAAATCAATCTTGTAGCTTTACATGAGCTGAGGTTTATGGAATGGGACTGAGCCAAGCTGATATTGCCTGATTTATTTTGCATATAACCTTTTTAATCCTACAAATATGAAACGCAACATTGAAAGCATTCACTGTTCAATAAAGACTTCTATTGCTTAGAGAAATAGTCAATAAACATCATATCCTTTCTGAGCCAAGATATTATCATTAAAGCCTCTTGAGACTCAGGCTGCCCACACAACCTTTTGGCATAGCTTCTTAAAATAATCACAAAATGCCTAATAATAAAAATTAGACTATATATCAATACAATCAAGAAAAATGCCATGTAATTTATAGGTCATTCCCTTGCTGGAGGAGGGGACATTAGCATGATTTTTTGGATGGTATAAATGGTAAAGGGGTTCAAGGGAGAATATAAGAACACGTCATCCGAAAATGAAATCAGCATCTTCTTTGGGGCTCAGCAAGAGAAATGGGGTTTTGTGATACCATATATAGCCTTCTCAAGAGGGAACATTACAAAAACACCAAAGGGCTTGACAGTTACGAGGGATAGCTCCGCTGTTCAGATAGAGCCCTCCATAAAAGGTGTAACTAACTCATAAACGTGACCCTCCTCTGGGAGCTTCATGTCTATAGGAGAGCTGGACAAACTCAAGTGACACCACATACCACATAGAGTCTTTCCTTGGATTTCAGGATATGTGGCTATAATTAGAGCTAAGCCCAAGCAGATACCAACATATGCAGTGTAATTGCAACAATTACTGAAGAAACTATCATTAACCGAAAGTTTTTGTGAAGGCTATGTGTTCTAGATAGAGTTTTGAATGAAAAGGACCATAGTTCACAATGAAGAGAACATGTCAGACTAGAGGAATTTAACATGTGAAAGGTCAAAGTCAAGGATGATAAATTCAGAGTTGGAGAACAGCTAATAGATGGGGGATGAAAACTAAAAGAGGTAAGAAGGAGAAATTAGTAGAGGGCCTGCCTGGAAGCTTAATTAGACTAATAAATCACTAAGAATACTCTAAATATTTGTTAATTATCAAATACACATTATATTCTATCATATTAATAAAAATAGTTCTCATTTATTGGATCCATGTCATTTCTCATGCAATGTGTACATTGTTTTGCACATATTATCTCTTTTGACCATTTCAACACTGAAATAATATTATTTTTATTTACAGAATAGCAAACCGTATTCAGGGAAATTAAATAACTTCCCAAGGCATTTTGGTTTGATTAAAATAAACAATGAAGAAATGTAAAAGCTATTACTAGAGAGTGACAACAATCCAAAGACTCTAGAGGAAGATGCCCTGTTGTTACATTTGGGCTAGATCAGAGGAGAGCAAGAGGCTTGGGAAAAGAATCTTCTAGTAGTTCAAACATGAAGTGAATGTTGTGCACTGTACCTGGAAAGGCATGATCTGAGAAATGGCAGGGCGAAAACAGCAAGGGCATTGAACCACTAGTCTAAGCAACAGTTAAAGCTTATAAACTGGTCCATAACTCACCATACAGAATGTTTGCTCTAAAAATCTTATAGCATAATGGTTCAAGGCACAGGTTCAGAACTAAGCTTTCCTAGGCTTGAGTTTTGTCTCTTCCCAATGCATACTTTGACATTTTTGTCAAGTTATTGGGTTTCTCTAATTCTTAGTTTTCTCCTCATAAAATATTTATTATCATTAATAAGCCCTATCCCATGGTACTGTGGTAAAAATTAAATTAGATCTTTCATGTAAAATGCAGAACACAGGGCTGATTCAGATGAAATGTATTGATAAATGTCAGATAATACTGATATACTATAACTTCAAATCCTCCTCTCCTTTCTATATATTAGTGCCTAGAAAAACACACTGTCTATTCTTCCCTCCTTCTCTAAATTCAGTGTCTTTCACAAGTTTTTGTATATGTGGCTACTCTGGTGTGCAAACAAAAAAAAAAAAGAAAAAAACATTTTGTAAATCACGAGAAGAAAAAACTTACACCATGATCATGTGAGAGTACATGTGCACACACATACACATGCAGGCACATACACATTTCATGAAAATATACTTAATGCCATTAAGAATTGGTATTCTATTCTAATCTATGCTCTTTTATTTCTTTCTTTTCAAAAATAATGGTTGTGACTCACCAAAGTGACTTTATGACTCACCCATGGGTGTCAATCACAGTTTGAAAAATACTTCTAAATCTCTCCTTGCGTTAAGAAAGATTATTAGAGGGTTGTGAATCTGCATCTCGTTGTCTAGCCCCTCATAGACTTTTTTTTAAATTTTACTTAGGTATTATGCTATTTTACTACTTTCAGGGGCATTATAAAAATCAGTCTCATGACAAGAAATAACTAGTGTTGTTGAAGATATGGGAAAAGGGAACCCTTGTACAGTTTGGTGACAACGTAAATTGGTATAGCCATTATGGAAAACAATATGAAGTTCCTCAAAAAACTTAAACATAGAGCTACCAGATGATCCACGAGTTTCACTTCTGGGTATAGGTCTAAAGGAATTAAGTTACTATTTTGAAGAGGTATCTGCACATGCCCATGTTCATTACAGTATTGTTCACAATAGACGAGATATAGGAACGATCTTAGTGTCCATCAGTGAATGAATTTTTAAATGTAGTATAATTACACAGTAAAATATTATTCAAACAGGTTCATCCATGCTGCCATTTGCAACAACATGGATGAACCTGGAAAGAATTACGCTAAGTAAAATAACTCAAAAAGAGAAAGAAAAACTATGACATCACTTATATGTGGAATCTTAAAAAAAAAAAACAGTCAAACTCACAGAAACAGAGTAAAATGATGGTTACCAATGGTGCATGGGGTAGATGAGGAGATGTTAGTCAAAGAGTCCAAACTTTCAGTTTCTGAGGATCTAATGTTTAATATGGTGGCTACAGTTAACACTATAGTTAACCATCAAACAACAGAAATTTGAACCGTGTGGGTTTATTTATGCATGGAATTTTTTTTTTTTTTTTTTTTTTTTTTTTTTTTTTTTTTTTTTTTTTTTTTTTGCGACGGAGTCTCCCTCTGTCGCCCAGGCTGGAGTGCAGTGGCGCGATCTCAGCTCACTGCAACCTCCACCTCCTGGGCTCAAGCTATTCTCCTGCCTCATCCTCCTGAGTAGCTGGGACTACAGGCGCCCGCCATCATGCCCGGCTAGTTTTTTGTATTTTTAGTAGAGATGGGGTTTCATCATGTTGGACAGGCTGGTCTAATTTTTAACACTCACAATTTAGCCTGGTGAAACACGAGGCCTCAGAAATTGGATAAAGACTCATAACTGTTCCTCCCCATGGAAATCTTTAATAAAAGGCGAAAGATTTACATGATCTGAAGAGAAACAAGAGTTATGCATGGATTTTTTAAAATAAATATACCAATTTTTTTTGGAGATTTACAACAGTTTGAAGAAACTTGCAGGGTAACCATGACCCCTGAGACAATAAGACTAACCCCTGCTCTTCTTCCTCCTCCTCAGCCTACTCAATGTGAAGACAATGAGGATGAAGATCCTCATGATGATCAACTTCCACTTAGTGAATAATAAATATATATATATATATTATCTTTCTTATGGTTTTTCTTAATAACATTTCCTTTTCTCTACTTACTTTATGTAAGAATATGGTAAAATATTCTAATAACCAAAATACATATAACAATACATATAAGAAAAGAATACATATCAGAAAAAAATATGTGTGAACTGACTGTTCACATTATCTGTAAATCTTCTGGTCAACAGTAGCCTATTAGTGGTTAAGTTGTGGGGGAGTCAAATGTTATATACAGATTTTGATTTGTGAGTTCCCCTAACCCCTAAGTTGCTCTGGAGTCCACTGTACTGTGTTGTATACTGGTATATCTCACAGATACACGGATTTGTATTCAGATTACCACAATAAAGAGTATATCATTTAAAGCAAGTCACATGAATTTTTTGGTTTTGCAGTGCATATAGAAGTTATGTTTACACTATATTGCAGTTCATTACGTGTGCAATATAATTATGTGTGAAATGAAAATGTATGTATATATCTTAATTAAAAATACTTTGTTGCTAAAAATGCTAATAATAATCTGAGCCTTCAGTGAGTCACAATCTTTGCTGGTGGAGGGTCTTGCCTCAATGTTTGATGGCTGCTGACTGATCAGAGAGGTGGTAGCTGAAGATTGAGGTGGCTGTGGCAATTTCTTAAAGTAAATAACAATGAAGGTTGCCATATCAATTGACTTTTCCTTTCACAAAATATTTCTCTGAAGCATTCACGCTGTTTGGGAGCATTTTGTCCACAGTAGAACTTCTTTCAACATTGAAGTCAATTCTCTCAAAGCCTGCCACTGCTTTATCAACTAAGTTTACGTAATATCCTAAATCCTTTGTAGTCATTTCAACAATGTTCACAGCATCTTCATCCAGGAGTAAATTCCGTCTCAGAAAGTAAAAACCACTTTCTCTGCTGACCCCCATGAAGCAACTCCTCATTTGCTAAAGTTTTATCATAAGGTGATTATCATTAATTCAGTCACATCATCAGATTCCACTTCTAATGCCAGTTCTCTTGCTCTTTACACCACATCTGCAGAGACTTCCTCCACTGAAGTCTTGAGCCCCTCAAAGTCATCCATGAAAATTAAAATCAACTTCTTTCGAACTTGTTTATGTTGATATTTTGACCTCCTTCAATGAGTCATGAATGCTATGATATCTAGGATGGTGAATCCTTTTCAGATCCATCAAAGGAATCATTATCTATGACAGTTATAGCCTTACCAACTTTATTACCTAAATAATAAGGCTTGCAAGTCGAAATTACTCCTTGATGCTCAGACTGCAGAATAGATGTTGCATTAGCAAGGATAAAAACAACATTAATCTCCTTGTACATCTCTCTCAGAGCTCTTGGATGACTAGGTGAATTCCTGATGAGCAATAATATTTAAAAGAAATATATTTGTCTGAGCAGTAGATCTAAACAGTGGGCTTAAGGTATTCAGTAAACCATGCTGCAGATAGATGTGCTGTCATCCAGGCTTTGTTGTTCCATTTATAAAGCACAGACAGAGTATATTTGGCATAATTCTTAAGGGGCCTAGGATTTTCAGAATGGTAAACAAGTATCGGGTTCCACTGAATGTCACCAGCTGCATTAGCCCTTAACAAGAGAGTCAGCCTGTTCTTTGAAGCTTTGAAACCAGGCATTGACTTCTCCTCTATAGCTACAGAAGTCTTAGATGGCATCTTCTTCCAATATAAGGCCATGTCTTCTTCATTGAAAATCTGTTATTTAGTGTAGCCACCTTCATCAATTATCTTAGCTGGATCTTCTGGATAACTTGCAGCAGCTTCTACATCAGAACTTGTTCCTTCCCTTGTATTTTTCTTAAACCTCATAAACTAACCTTTGCTAGCTTCAAACTTTCCTTCTGTAACTTCCTCGCCTCTCTCAGCCTTCACAGAATTGAAGAGAGTTAGGGAATTGCTCTGGATTAGGCTATGGCTTAAAGAAGTGCTGTGGCTGGTCTGGGTTTCTATGAGGACCTCTGATATTCTCATATCTGTCAGAAGGCTGTTCTGCTTTCTTATAATTTGTGTGTTCAGTGGAGTAGCAATTTTAATTTCCCTCAAGAACTTTTCCTTTGTATTTACAACTTGGCTATTTGGTATAAGAGGTCTAGCTTTTCATTTGCCTTGGCTTTCAACATACCTTCTTTACTAAGCTTAGTCCTTTCTTGATTTTGATTTAAGAAAATTTGAGACATGTGAGTTTTCATTTCACTTGAACACTCAGAGGCCATTGTAGGGTTGTTAAGTGACCTAATTTCAATATTACTGTGTCTCAGGAAATGGAGAGGTCTGAGAAGGAGCAGGATGGGGAAAGGCCACGTGGTGGAGCAGTCAAAACACACACAACATTTATCAATTAAGTTCACCATCGTATATGGCTGGGGTTCATGGCAACCCAAAACAATTTAATAGTAACATCAAAAAACACAAAGATCAAAGATCACTGATCACAGATCACCCTAACAAATATAATGATAATAAAAAAATTTGAAATATTGTAAGAATTGCCAAAATGTGACACACAGACATGAAGCAAGCGCATGCTATTGGAAAAAGGGTGCGAATAAAGTTGCTCAATGCAATGGTTGTCACAAACCATTTTGTAATAGAAGTGCAATATCTGCAGAGCAATATAAAGTGACATGCAATAAAATGAGGTATGCCAGTATAAGAAAAAACTTTCAAAACAAGACATAAAACTTCCAAGCTGTAAACAATTTTCAATGCATTGTACTGCCCTGAAATTAGAAACATCATACAGTTAAAAATAAGCCATAGACTTTGAGAACATTTTTCCAATTATGCATAACTACAGAAGATCAACTGCCAGACTACATAAATAAATCATACAGATCACTAAGAAAGAGGTAAAGAAATCCAGTTAAAAAATGAGTAAATGTTATGATTAGGGGCTTTTGGAAAGAGGACACTCAATTTTTGTTGTTGTTATTGGTGGTGGTGGTGGTAGAGACAAGGTCTCACTATGTTGTCCAGGCTAGTCTCGAACTCATGAGCTCAAGCAATTCTCCCATCTCAGCCTCCCAAAATGCTGGGATTACAGGTGTGAGCCACCGCCCCAGGACTAGAATGTTTTACTAAACATAAAAAGATGCCCAAATGTAATTGTAATTGGAGAAACACAAAGTAAAATATTGAGATATTTACACATAGACTAGAAAATAATTTATAAGTCTAACAATATCAACTGTTGATGACAATGTAAAGAAGCAAATACAACATATTGCAGAGTTTTTGTTTTAACCACATGTGATAACAATTTGACAATCTGAAAAGATGTTAAACTAGCATGTATCTACATCTTATAGATTGGAGAAATGTGCTTCCAGATATAGCTGTATAGGTAGAGTAACACTCTCAAGTGTGCACACAGAAACATATAGATCATGTTCCATTTGACATTGCTTATTTTAGCAGAAAATTTTGACTGATCTAAATGTCCATCAGAGAGGGAGTGGATAAATCAGTTGTGGCATATGCATACAGTGGAATCCTGTGCAATGGTTAAGTGAAGTACTGCAAAATGTATCAACATAGAAAAAAATAAAAACAAGTTGCTGAATGATTTGAAGGGGGTTTTATTAGTTTTGAAGGACTGCCATAACAAAGTACAATGGATTGAATGGTTTAAACAACAGAAATTTATTTTCTCATAGTTCCGTGTGCTAGAAGTACAAAGTCAATGTGTGATAGGGTTTGACTCTGTGTTTCCACCCAAATCTCATCTTGTAGCTCCCATGATTTCCACATGTTGTAGGAGGGACCCCGTGAGAGATGATTGAATCATGGGGGCGGGTCTTTCCCGTGCTGTTCTCATGATAGTGAATTAGTCTCTTGAGATTGATGGCTTTAAAAACAGGAGTTTCCGGGCACAAGCTTTTTTTTTTTTTCTTTTTGTCTGCTGCCATCCACATAACATGTGACTTGTTCCTCCTTGTCTTCCACCATGATTGTGAGGCCTCCCCAGCCATGAGGAACTGTAAGCCCAATAAACCTCTTTCGTTTGTATATTGCCCAGTCTTGGGTAACTCTTTATCAGCAGAGTTGCGGGAGGGAGCTGGTGGGAGATGATTGAATCATGTAGGGGTCTTTCCTGTGCTGATAGTGAATGGTTCTCATAAGATCTTAGGGTTTTATAAATGGGAGTTTCCTTGCACAAGCTCTTTTTTTTTGGCCCACTGTCATCCAGGTAATATGTGACTTGCTTCTCCTTGCCTTCTGCCATGATTGTGAGGCCTCCCAGCCATGTGGAATTGTAAGTCCATAAACCTCTTTCTTTTGTAAATTGCTCAGTGTTGGGTATGTCTTTATCAGCAGCATGAAAACTGACTAATACAATGTGTTGCAGGTTTGGTTTTTTTTCAAGGCCTTTCTCCTTGGCTGGCAGACAGCCCTGCCTCCTTGATGTATCCGCACATGGTCTTTCCACTGTATGTGTACATCTTTGGTGTCTCTTTCTGTGTCCAAATTTCCTTTCCTTTCCTTTGATTTTTTAGAGGCAAAGTCTCACTCTGTCACCTAGGCTGGAGTGCACTGGCAGGATCATAGCTCACTGTAACCTAGAACTCCTAGGCTCAAGCAATCCTCTTGCCTCAGCCTCCTCAGTAGCTGGGACTACAGGTGCGTGCCACCACCCCTGGCTAATTTTTTAATTTTTTTGTAGAGACGGGGTCTCTCTGTGTTGCCCATGCTAGTCTTGAACTTGTGGTCTCAAGCAATTCTCTTGCCTCAGCCTTCCAAAGTGATGAGATTACAGGCGGGAGCCACTGCACTCAAATTTCCTTTGCTTATAAGGACACCAGTCAGGTTAGATTAGGGCCTAACCTAACAGCCTCGTTTTAATTTAACCACCTTTTTAAAGACCCTATCTGGAAGTACAGTCACATTCTGAGATATGAGAGATTACCACTACAGCATATACAATTCTGGCGGTGAGGAGACACAATTCAGATAACATTTATAAATTATTTTTTGGGTTTTTTTGAGATGGAGTCTTGCTCTGTCGCCCAGGCTGAAGTGCGGTGGCATGATCTCAGCTCACTGCAATCTCTGCCTCCTGGGTTCAAGCGATTCTCCTAACTCAGCCTCCGAAGTAGCTGGTATTACAGGTGCGTGCCACCACACCCAGTCAACTTTTTGTATTTTTAGTAGAGACGGGGTTTCACCGTGTTAGCCAGGATGGTCTCTATCTCCTGACCTCGTGATCCGCCCGCCTCGGCCTCCCAAAGTATTGGCATTGCAGGCTTGAGCTACTGCGCCCAGCCACATTTATAAAATTTTAAAAAACAAGGAACTCAAGTACGGATTATTTACCGGTAAAAGCACTTTAACAGTAGTAAAAGTTTAGGATGGCAATTATGTCTCAGGGTGGAGGGACAGAAATGTCCGTGAAATCTTTTATTTCTTCAAAGTACAAGATCTGAAGCTAATGTGACAAAATATTAATATAAGTAAAACCAAACAAAAACTATAGATGCATTTGTAATATCCTTCCCTGCATTTTGGTATCTTTAAGATATTTTTCATTAGGAAACTGACAGTGACCAGTGAGATCCTCATATTAAAACAGTAAAGCTGTGATTGAGGACAGAAAGGAAAATGTTTAGACTCCTCACTGGCTTTCTAGATTCATTTCCTCAGTCCCCAAGTATAACCCCAGACATAAATAAAGCAAATTTACTCCAAGGTTTAAAAGGAAGTATTATATTATCTCAGGAATTAGTTGCAGCACTCTTCAATTTTTCTCAGATCCTAAATCCCCATTTTTCACTTTTTATGAGAAATAAAAACATGTTCATCCATTTTTAAAAGCAGGTTTACAAATGCAAATACTTAAGAGGATTTAAATTTTTATGTGATGGTGTATTGGTCTAAGTTTAAATGTTGATATCAATGTTTTTGTGTTTTGATTAGGTATGGGAGAACTTTGAAAAGTAGGAAGGCACATTGTATTTATAGAAAAACAAGGTTGAAAGTCTTAGATTTGAAAGCGTGGCAAAAAGGGAGGCTGGAGATATCAAAGAAAAGTGGTCAACTTCACAACTATTACCAGTTGCTCTATTTATATGAACTTGAACCTGGGAAAATACAAACTGTGTATAAATGCTTTTGGTGTCCAGCATGATTACATGAGCAGGTATCATCCTGGGAACCTGACTCAGGGCCAGTCCAAACCTTTGACAAACCGTGCCCTCTGGCACACTATCACCAAGAGCAGGCTTCAAGGTCATCCTGTGCCAGCACTATCCTCCAGGGAACTCCGCAGGCCAGCACAGTTAATTACACTAACAGCCAAGGAAATTATATTGGCCAACCACAGCCTAGGAAGATGAATATCTCTCTTCCTTAGTCACAGGGGGATGTTAATGGCATTTTTATTAACTTGTGACCTGTTGACTGCTATTAGAATATAGATTGTATGCATAAACCAGGTCGGGTATTGCAGATATGATTACGGAGCAATTACTGTGGCAGCCACTGGGTTTCTAATCATTGCTGGCAAAGTGAAATTGTAAAACTCAAAACTGCTTTTTGGAATCCTACAAGAAATGCTTGAGATCAAAGTTTATATTGTATCTTTGTGTCTTCTTGAAATTGCAATTTGTGATTTCTATGATTAGACTGGCAAACAAGGGCAGATTTTTAAAAGAAAACATCAAAGGACAGATGATGATTAGGGTTATCTTAGATTTTGGCAACTCAAGGTTGAAAACTTTCCTTGTTGAAATTGTTTTGATTAAAAATAAATGCAGTTTCCTAGCAATTCTATTTGTGCAGGTATCCCTAATAATCAGTGACCAGATTATATTCTGATCTATTACTTTAGTAATGTGAAAACTCACTTCTGCAATTATGTACAATGTGATATGAAATATAGCATTAAGTACTTTAGTCATGCTCTTTAGAGTCTCATATTAATGGTAATGCCATCAAGGTTGCCAAAGTGTCTTCAGAGTCAATATCTAAGGATGCTGATTTATATTTTGCAAAGTGCATTATTTATTCTTTGAAGTGCATTATTTATCCTGTAAAGTGCATTATTTATAATCACAACCTTTCTACCCTTAGTTGAAGCAAAGTTTATGCAACCGCTTTTAAACTGCTGCCTTTACATATGGGGTGAGACCAAAAGGGACAAATGGTACCATTAACACAGTAAATTACAGTATTAACTGACTTGACTAGAAGCAGAAAATACTATATCTGAAATCTTGCCATCCTAATTTAGAAGTCACAAGTGATTTAGATTAAAAAGAAAAAAAAAATAATCGGCCCTTCAGGTTCTTAGCTCAACTGAACATTTGAACTCTCTGTGCTAGAGTTAGTTCTACATGAACTTTAGACAGTCTAGTTTCAGATGGGACTATTTAAGCTCACAGAGAAGGGAAGCATTGAAAGTAAAATCAGATTGCAGTTGAATCTCTGGGACTCTGGGCAAGAAAAACTCACAAAAGCATAAAATTGATCTTTTGTCCCAGGACTGACACTTTCACTGATCTTTCTATGATCACCACTGTAAATTTTTGTTTTCTATACATTGCATTAGAAACTACTATGGTTTGAATATGATAACCAAGAAGCATGTGTTGGTAACTTTATCCCCGTTGCAACAATGTTGTGAGGTGGTGCCTAATGAGAGGTGATTAGGGCATGAAAGCTGTGCCCTCATGAATGGATTAATGCTGTTATTGGGTTCCCTATAAAATAACGAGTTTGGCTCCTTTTGTTTCTTTCTCACCCTCTCCCCTTCTGCCACGCGGTGATGCAACAGGAAGGCCCTTACCAGATGCCAACATTATAATCTTGGACTCCCCAGCCTCCAGAATTGTGAGAAATAAATTTCTTTTTTAAATAAGTTATTGGTCTCTGGTATTCTGTTATGCAGAACACCAGTATATTTTGTAGCACAAAATGTAAGTAAGCCAGAAACTTAGGATCATCTTAGAGACAAAACCACTTACATGGGTGTAGTTTACATTAGAAATGAAGCTGCATGCTTCTATTAGTATCCTGCTGAGAAAATTGCGTTTTCCAAGTTTTTAAAATGAAATATTAATTATATTTTAAGGTAAATTTATTTTCCTGACAGTATAAGAAACAGCACAAATTAAAAATTAGATAATAAGATTACTTTCTTAGACCTGTACTTTTCAGAAACATGTATTATAAAAATCATGGGATTTGGATCAGACAGCCAGTTTACAATTCCAACTTTGCTATCTATTAACAGTATAAAATTGGGCACACGATTAACTTTTCTGACTTTTGCAAGAAGTATTCTTTTCCTATAAAATTGTTCTGAGAAGTAAATGAACGTCTGACTTAGTGTCTGGGGCACAGCTCAACTTCAACTCAACAAATACGCTTTTTCTTTTCCCCGCATTGCTCCCTCTTGCTATAGTTTAAAGCTTTAAGTGCATAGGATGCCACATTTAAGTGAATGGCTGGAGTTTAGAAAGAGGTCAAACGGATTTCAGCATGATTTTTAAGATGTAGTAGAAAAACATATTTGCAGGCTGAAAAGAAAAATGGAATAATTCAGATTTAACTGCTTAACACCAGCTTCCCTCTGAGTATTTCCCCTTTTCTGTAACTTCAGCAAAAGGGCCAGGGAAAAGTTATTCCCATCTTTTGAATGTCACTCATAATGGGAACAGCAATAGTACAAATATCTGACATTAAAAGAAAAAGTCCTAACGTTTGAATAAATATTTACTTTGCTGGTTTGGCTTTACCTCCTACTTCACTTATCCTCTGGTGCCTACTGCCAAACAAATAAAATAGGAAAAAAGAAAAACCCAGAGAAAAATGTAGAACCCTATAATACATGGATCCATGCAGCCCTAAAAGAGAAAAGTAAATTTTATGCCAATAGAATGGCATAAATAAGAACAGTCAGCTCATAATTATTTTAGAGTCTCTATTAACATAATTAAGTAGGGTATAATATCATGTACAGAAACAATTTACTCTCTTTTGCTTGTTTTTATTTACCCAGCTTGTCTGCAGCCCTGCAGGAAGTCTTTTAAAATAAAACAATCAATTAATTCCCCCAGTATTGGAAATGTGAAAATGAAGAAGGCTGGCACAACTTAGGCAGGTTTTCTGTATCAAATGGAAATATCACAGGGATTTAAAAAATGGCAAGAATTTGATTGGGGAAAAGACCCTATTTATTTCAGCTTTTATAGGTCAGATTTTACCCCGTTGTGCGTGTGTGTGTGTGGATGTGTGTGTTATGAGTTAGCAAAATATCAAATACCTCAAAATTCTGAGTATATCTATATATTGTATGAATTTGGGTTTTCCTATGACATTGCTGCCCTCTATAAGCGTGCATATGTGCACTGAATGAACATTGTCTTGAATTGAAAATGTCATAAGCTAGCTGGTTATATGTAGTGAGAGACCCTTCTGATTCAGCATAAATTGCCTTCCCATTCCAGAAAAAAAAATAGACTAGTGCTATAGCACTTTAATCATACCCTGGATGTCAAGCCTGTTATATTAATGGTTTTTGCATTTAAATAGTGAAACTGGATTCAATATAGGGAAAATGAGTTAGTAGCTAGCCCAGAAGAAAGGCATCTTCTATCCACAATGAAGGTGTGTCATTTCTCCCTGGAGTGAAAACTCACTGCAAGTTCATTCCCTCAATGCTCAGGGACCTGCCTTTGAAGAAGTTATCCATTGTGAAGACAGGGTGCTTAATTCCTTTTTGTGACCTTAAATCTTTGGTTTCTGCTGAAAATTCTGAATACTGGTGTCCTTAAAGGGCAAGCTATTAAAACTAATTTCTCAGCTCCTATCCACCAAAAACCACGCTCAAAGGTTACAGTTTGTTAGCATTGATTCCAAGTAGCCTGCAAATGACATATCAGAGCCGGAACAAAAGAAAAACAATGGCTTATATGTTTTAATTTAAATATCAAAGATTCTGTATTTCAATTGCGATTCCAACTGCTGTTATACCTGTCAAGTTTTACTAAAATTTCAGGTGTCATTCCTTTTACCTTTACTTATGTAGTAAAGTAGTCATTGATCATTATCTTGTGAATGCATTTTTAGTTGGCATACATAACAAGGCCAGACTGGAGTTTAGGGCTTAGAGCTTTGAGTCGTCAACCATCAAGTAAGGCATATATAGGTTGTTTTAATGAGTGTACACACTGTAGTAACCATTATGTTTACGTGTGATGAAAATGACGATGCCAGAACATGATAGGACATAGTTTAACAAAACAAGTGTTTAGAATGATCACCACCAGCCCATCGGCTTTTTTTTTTTTTTTAGATTCTCCCATTCCACAATAGAGAACGACACACATAAATATTTGCTAAAAGAGCCAAGAAAGCTACTTCAATGTATGATGTACATGTTGTGTTACAAACTACCCCACAGTAAACTCATGTGTGTGAGAGTAGAATAGAATTCTACATTATTTGTCCTATTCATCCTCCAGAGTGATTTCTGGTTCTCAGAAAGTTGAAGTGCCAGATATTTGACTGCACTGCACCATTTGGAATGAAATGTAGCATTTTGAAATGACTACACATCTTGATGCCTTCACTTCCATTTCACATTTGCAATGTCTTTACTTTTCCATAAGAGTTCTCACTTTTCAGTTACTGTTTAAATTTAGCAAACTCGTTACTGAAATACAGCATGCATATGGGAAAGTATACAAATCATGAGTAGACACCTTGGTGAATTTTCATGAACAGAGCACACGCATGTAACCACCACTTAAACCAAGAAAAAGTACTTGGCCAGCACTTTGAGAACCCTTTCTTGCCCCTCCCAATCATTGTTCATTCACCTTCTATTCTGACTTCTGATACAATAGTTTGACCTGTTTTAAACTTTATATGAATGGAATACTTAATGTGCTCTTTTGTGTTCAACTTCTTTTGCACAATACTGTCTTTAGGAGATTCATCTACACAGTTGTATGTAGTGACAATTCGTTCATTTTCATTGTTATATTGTATTCCATTGTGGAATATACTGCAGCTTATTTATGTATTCTTGTATTTATGACCAATTGTGTTGCATGGAAGCAACGCAGCATTGGGGCTATTATAAATGCTATGCATACTTTTATATGTGTGTTTTCATTTTATGCACACAGTTATTTAGAACATTCTTAGGAGCTGCATTGTTGGGTCATAAAGTGTGGTATATCAGCTTTATTAGGTAATATTAAACAATGTTTCAGAATGGTTTTGCCAATTTACACCACCACAATCAGTGTATAAGAATTCCAGTTTCTCACCAACAACTGGCACGAACCATACTCAGTCACTTTTCTTTCTACTTAATAAATAAAAGTAAATGCAAAATTTTTGCAGTAGCACATAATGATGCTACAGATCACTAACACTTTATGAAAACACCACCATTTTTTCTATATTAATACACTTCATCATGATCCTTTCATTCACATTGTCACTATTTTTAAAAAGAATCTCTAAGTTTTTCTCCTCTTCTCCCTCCAGTCCAAATAATTCTAAACAAATTTATCAATTTTTCTTCTTAAAGTGTGCCTCTAGGCATATTAACCTCTTCTTCAAAATTCTTAAGGCTCTCAGTTATCTTCAAATCATTACTCCACAAAATTACTGGCCCCCTCCCCCATCTTAATTTGTAAGCCTTAACTTCTTTTTCTCACATGCATATCTATTTCATTCAGGGGCAATCACTCTTCACACAAGTGTGCCAAAAACTTCTCTACAGCCAATTGTTAGTACATACTATTATTCTTTTACAGGGTCTCTCTCTTTTCCCCACCCACATTTTCTGTCTTACTTCAAATGTTATTTCTTTCAGAAGCCAGATGTGCTTTCTTTCCTCCATTCAATTCTTCTGGCACTTTGTCTCAGTGAGAGTTAAATCACACCCCGCCCCCCACATTAAGTTATTTTATTCAATTATTACATTGTTTTAGTACCATTATACTAGATACTAAATAGGTTCATTGCTGGAGAAAAAAGACACAGCCTAGGAAAATGCTTTGCATGTAGAAAGTACCCAATAAATAGTTGTAAAATTGAAGAGAACACGCAAAGTGTGTATATGTTTTACTGAAACTCCCTGGATTGTTGGAACATTTACCCAGTAAAAAATGACAGATTTTTCTGGGCCAAATAATGACAGCAGTCTCTGAGTGTAAGAGAAGAAGTAAAGTTGGCCAAATCTGTTCAAAATCTGTTTGAGTGACACAATCTACCCTGTCCCAGATTGCTGCTTATTACATTTAAGGGATCTATATTTTCCATGGAAACTGATTTCTGTGAAAGGGGGAAAAAAGATAGGAATCAACTGATCAATTTGTGCTCATCTAAGATAATGTATATTTGTACTGGATTATTTTCAAAATTCCCTTGGCACAAATAGTCTTTATCACACAATGCCAACTGAATCACACTTAACATACTTAGGATCCTTGCAGGTTTAGCAAATCAGTGCAGCATAATTTGCCAGACTCTTCATGGTATTGCTGGGAACAGGTGTGGAAGAAGGAGCACAAGTTTAAGAATCTGATAGACAGAGATTGAAATATTAATAATGCCTCATGTAAGCAGTGTGGATTTGGACAAATTACTTAATCTTCTGAAGTCTCAGTTCTGTCATCCATAAAGTGGGGATAAATAAGATATAATTTTCAAACCTGATGTGAAAATAAAATAAGATAATGTACCGAAAGTGGTTAATACCATGGCTGGACCTGAGCTTAGGTCTTGTCTCTATAGCCTTCCCTGACTCTACAACTGGGTTAGGGCCTCCTATGTTCTGCTTTTGTAGCACACTGTATTTTTGCTTCAAAATTTTATCATAGTTCATATCTGTACAGTCATTGTTGTAATTATTGCATTTGCTCTCTATGAGTTCCATTAGAATGGTTCCATGTCTGTTGTGTCATTGTAATATATCCAATATTTACCATGATGCCAGACACATAGTTCATGATCAAAAATATTTATTAAGAAATGAATACTTTCATTCTCACACCTCTCACACCACCCTGCCCACACTGACAATCAAGTTGCCATGAGTTTGAAAAAAAAAATACATTAAAAAGTGAATGATAATATTTTTTCTTTCACCTTCACAAATAGCATATAGGATCAAATGGCTGAGGTTTTTTTTTTTTTTTTTAACAAAACAGACTTTATATATTCTAATGAGTACTACCTTTGTTAACGCAGTCAAGTTTGCAAGCTGTACACACATTTCTGAGATACTGACATAGCTGGAACAATTGTTTGAAGGGCCTATTAAGGTCCTACCTTCAAAGCCCAGTGCCCGTTATGCAGAAGAATATCATCAAAAGTGGTTAATCTGACTTTGAAGAGAGTATTGTATTTTTGAGAACAGTTAAAAATCATTTAGAATTAACTGACAAATTAAGCAGTTTATTTTTCATCTGAAACAAAGTTTAGAAAGCATTCACAAAACTGCTTTTCTTCTATCACCATAAATTTAAGGACTTATTCTAAAGAAAAAGAGTTCCGTAAATGAGCAATGAAAGACGCTATGATCTCCCAAAGTACATACTGTGAAGGGAAATATTCTTAGTAATGTATATTTGGTGTATTTGTGAAACACACACACACACACACACACACACACACACACACACACATAGCTACACACAACAATCTCTCACCCCCATCTCCTCTGAAAATTACATTTCTTTAAAGCCATGTCTGATATAAATTCCATTTTAAACTCATTTTCCACAGGTTTTTCTAAGGAGTATGATGAGAATAATAAATATCTCTCACTGAATAAAGCACAATATACATTTAATAACATTACAGTTAACATCTCCAAACCTCCCGCTGATCCTAATGCAGCTTCCTGAAGCAGTGGATTTTCCATGATGTTGTCACTATAGGGATTTTATGTTAGAAATGCAATCTAAATAAGCTTTGGCCTTAAATTGTAATCATATAACCATATAATAAAGAATAGAAAATTATAGTAAAAATACAAGTGTACATATAACTTTTACAGTCTGTAATAGTGAATTCCTGTGATAGTGTGTTATTAGGATTATATATATATTTTTAAGATGGCTGCCACGAAGTGAAAGTCAAAGAAATATCAAAAGTACGCCTGGTACCTCTTGAGTGTTTTTGCATTGTAGGTGGAATAGGAACATTGTTATGATACACATGGACAATGTTCCCTAGTCATTTCTATTCCAGTGGCAACTATGTTTGTAACACCATTGACTATAAGGGTACCAGAGCTGGACCCAAAAAATGTGAGCTGAAAGGGTGGGGTCAAAGACAAGGAACATGAAAGAAAGAAGTTAGAAGCTAGAGGAGAATGGGAAAATTGTGTGCAGTCTGACGTAACAGTGGTCACTCTGTTAAAATAAGCTTATTTCCTTGATAAAGTCATTGGCAACACCTGGAATTATGCAATTTTATTTGCAGGGTGATTTCCAAATAGTTGGTGCCCTACCCAAATAAATGTCTCTTGGAAACTCGAGTTAGAATGAGGGCTGAGCTATTACTTGCAGCAGTCAGTCCCCAAAAGAACAAATCATTGAAGAAGGTGATTTGTGCATTTGAGCAGTTAACTGCAATCTTTTAAAGGACATGCTAAAAAAGGTTTTGCCTATGCTTCATCCACCAGGTGTAGTCTGGATTCTACTGGGTTTCCTTTCTTTTTTATTTACATGGACTTATTTATTTTACTTACTTTCTTTCTTTTTTAAGAGACCACATTGACTGAGACATTTAAAATACAAAATGGTAATTAAGAGTGTTTGAGGCAGCTCCAGCTGGTTCTTGAATAGCTCCCAATAGGTAGGCTGACATTTCCACCCTCTAAGAATCCCTGCTTGGATGCAGTTCAGAGCAGCCAACCTTGATTCCGCCCACCATTTGATTAAACAACAGAGAAACGACAAATAGTGAAAGTCACTTCTCTTGGGCTAGCTTAAAATGACAGAAAATGCAAGAAAAGAGAATGATGGAAAAGGAGATCATGAATTAACATAAAAACATCGGATCAAATTTCATTCTTCAAAGTGTGCATCTAATTGGTCAATGAGCCTTCTAAATGTAGAAATTGCATTAGCATCTCCAGAGGTGAGTATCTTGAGGGCGATTTGAAACACAATTTAATTTTCCTTCAGAATTATACCCAAACAAAGATTGAGATAAACAGCCACCTGTCTACAAATCTTTAGGAACAGCCTTACATTGTGACTGAAAACCTGAGATATTGCTAGGACAAGAAAATTAAAAAAAAAAAAAAAGACATGATTTCTCCCTTCTGAAAGTTTATAAGGTAATTGGAAAGACAAAAGTTGTTCAACTGGAACAACTAAATAAAAATGCCAAGTGGTGTATAATTAAACATCAAAATGTTTGTTTGTGTGTGTGTACCAGTTTGGGGAGTAAATAAGGACAATTGGATAATGATCTAGGGGAAAATATTTTGTTAACTTTACCACTATCCAGCTAAGTGTAGGCTTATGCACTATTAAATTTGTGATTGAGAAGTTGCTATTCAATATGGAGAGGCTTCAGGGAGGTTAATGAGAAAGTGGGAAGATTGCATGGGGTTAAGGAAAATGATCACTACTGGATTTCCGCTCTGGATTAGGAATCCACAGTCCTAGGTCGTAGTTCCAGTTTTTCCACAAAATAATCAAATGTCAATAGCAAATTATTTTCCCTCTCTGGATTTTGATTTTCCTATATATAAAATGAGAGCTTTGGACAAAGTAATTGCTAACATATGTTCCATTTTCTATGATGCTTTGATTAGGCGTGTCAGCTCCCATTTATCATATCTGCGCCGTC
Organism: Homo sapiens; assembly: GCF_000001405.40. NCBI lineage: Eukaryota > Metazoa > Chordata > Mammalia > Primates > Hominidae > Homo > Homo sapiens. Next base: position 116,981,292 of record NC_000003.12, read on the forward strand.
CACTGCAGTGGAAGCCTCTAGTGGTGGCTGTTCTTCATTAGCTACTACTAGGCTGAGACCAGTTTCAGGACACAAGTTTTCTAGACATCAAGTGCCAGCCTTGTCGATCTCTTATTACCTAGTGATTTATCACATGTCCTCTGATTCCCATTTCAAACAATTCTCTTTTCTCCTTGTTACTTTATCTAATGTTCATTTCTCTACAATGAATCTTATTCCTCCTTTAGACCTATTCTTCTTCCACATATTTTTCCCCCTCTCAAGTCTTCTTGAAGGCTTAAAGGTTACACAAAAATATTTTTAAATATTAATAAGAAAGCACTATAATTATTAACTCCTTTTTGTCTTTTTCTATTTTGGTAAATATCCCCATGTGGATTGGTCAATATTTTATATTGGATGTGGACCACTAGAAAGATATTTCCTCCTCCCAAGAATAGCCTTTCTAACTGTGCTAACTAAAGGTTGGTATTTATAAATAATACCCAGTATTTAATAATATATTCATATTTGAAACTAGCATGTTCCATAAACAATTTGGTTACCTTAGTACAAGATGTCTAAGGAAGTTTGTATTAATTATATTGCACATCTTTGGAGGCTAAAGCAACTGAAGTCTTTGCCTTTACATATAATACCCTTTCTTTGTTGTGTGATAATTATATTCTGGTTATGTAGAAAATATAATTTGATTCTGTAGTTCTCTCTGCTTTAGAAAGAAAGTTTTAACAATCTTTTTAATACTTTGAATCATGCAACACATTCCTGGAGCATCAACTTAGCATTTGCAGTCAGCATCCACAGAAAACCTTGCTGTTTATCTGCTTTCAGTCCTTCTCATTGCCCTGAAGCTGCATTTGTTTCTACATTATTGTTACTCTGGCTACACCCAGAGATTTCTTCTGTATTCTTGAACACTACAGACTTGCCTTTCATTAGATTTTTCTCCTTCTTGATGCTTTTTCTTAACCTGGTATACATGTATTGCCCTATTCTTTGTCATACTTTATTAACACCTCTTTTTACATTTATTTTGCTGATTTGCTCTCCTTCACTACCAACTGGGAAATTGCTGTCGGATCTCCTGTGAATCATATATCAGTGTATCTATCTATCTATCTGTATTTATCCATCTATCCATCCATCCATCCATCCATCCCTCCACCCATCCATCCATCCATATATCCATTGCAGTTATCCATTCAAAGTTAAAACTACAGTGGTATGCTGGCAGTTACCGGATCCTTCACTTAGCTTATATATTTCTCCATCAACACAATCATGGAGAAGCTTCACTAATTTTTAAATCTTACTGTGCCTAAAACCAAACTGAATTTTCATTTTAATTACTTACCTCAATCAGATATCTATTCCTCAACATTTTAAAGAAAGGATTTGAGATGGCTTACAGAAACATGTGTAATACCATCACAGTTGCCATTGGGAGCATAACATGGTCAAACACAATGTAGGACAACTTGACAATATTTGTCAAATCACAAATGTCCACATCCCTCAGCCATAAATTCGGCTTTGAGGAATCTGTCCTAGGAATATACCTATACATGTACTAAATGATGTATGGACAAGTGTAATTATTGTGATATTATTTGCAATTGGCATTGTTTGTAATTACACATATTGAAAACAACATACCACAGCAGGAGACTGGATAAACACACACAGCATAGTGAAGTATCATTCCACAAAATATTCAAGAAGCCATATACTAATAGGGAATAATCTTCAACATAGATTAAGTAAATGTAGACTCATATAACTTTTGAGGAGAAAAAGGGAGGGGGAGAAGAGAATAGCTAACTAGTTAGATAAGTAGATCACACATAAATTTCATTATAGATGAGCTTACCTGTCTATATCCTGAGATACTGTATATCTCTGGAAGGATACACAAGCAATGATTGTGTTGATTGATTCCAGAGAGGACACTGGATGACTGCAGGACAGAGGTGAGAGAAAGACTTCTTCTCATGACTTAGTAATAGAGAGACCTTTCACTATATATCCTTTTAAACCTACACCTTCTCTTCAAAACTATAAAACAAAGTGAAGGACCTAAGTGAGATATCATGAAAATAAGAAAGGAATTGGAGCAACAGCAAATAAGTATAAAAAATATAAAAAGATATTAAGATAAAGATAGCGGTAAGGCCAGTAAATAAATGTTCACTGCAAGGCCTTATTTTCTCTCAGGATGGCTAGACATTTTTATTTCCTTGCTTTGAATGAACTATAATTTCTATTTTTTAAAAAAGCACAGGGAAGGCCCATTCATTCCTTACCTGGGGCCTGAGAGGCATGCAGGGACTCTCATCAACAGGGTACTGTATGCAATTTTGTACCAGGCCCTCAAAAAAATCCCAAAATGCATGCAATTCTAAATTTAATGAGGCTGATTATTTTTTATATTTCAGCTTTATAGAGATATAATTGTCAAGTACAGTAGTATATAAAGTCTACAATGTGATGATTTGATACACATACGATTACAAAATGGTTACCACCATCTATTTAATTAGCACATCTATCATCTCACCTAGCTAACTTGTGTGTGTATGAAAACACAAATATCCACTGTCTTAGCAAATCTGAAGTATAAGCATACCTTGCTTTAGTGTGCTATGATTTATTGCTCTTGGTAGAGATTGCACTTTTTACAAATTGAAACTTTGTGGTGACCTTGCATTGAGAAACTCTATTGGCACTGTTTTTTCCATCAGCATTTACTCACATCATGTCTCTGTGTCACGTTTTGGCAACTCTCACAATATTTCAGACTTTTCCATTATACCTGTTACAGTGATCTGTAATCAGTGATCTTCGATGTTACCTATTGTAAGTGCTTTGGGGTGCCGCAAGTCATGCTGATATAAAATGGCAAATTTAATTGATACATACATTAGTTCTGACTGCACCACCTACTACCCATTCCCCTGTCTTGCTCCCTCTCCTTAAGCCTCCCTATTTTCTGAGACACAACAGTATTGAAGTTAGGCCAGTTCATACCCAGCAACATTCTCCAAGTGTTCAAGTGAAAAAGTTTCATATTTCTTGCTTTAAATCAAAAGCTAGAAATGATTAAGCTTAAGAGAGGAAGGCATCTTGAAAGCCAAGATAGGCTGAAACTAGGCCTGTTCTGCCAAACAGTTAGCCAAGTTGTGAATGAAAAGGGAAAGTTCTTGCAGGAAATTAAAACTGCTACTTCAGTGAACACATGAATGATAAGAAAGCAAAGCAGCCTTCTTGCTGATACAGAGGAAGTTTTAGCCATATGGATATGAGATCAAACCAGTCACAACATTCCCTTAAGCCAAAGACTAATTCAAAGCAAGGCCCTAACTCTCTTCAATTCTGTGAAGGCTCAGAGAGGTGAGGAAGCCACAGAAGAAAAGTTTGAAGCTGGCAGTGATTGGTTTATGAGGTTTAAGAAAAATACATGGGGAAGGAAGGAGCAAGTTCTGATGTAGAAGCTGCTGCAAGTTATCCAGAAGATCCAGCTAAGATAATTGATAAAGACGGCTACACTAAACAACAGACTTCCAATGTAAACAAAACAACCTTGTGTTGGAAGAAGATGCCATCTAGGATTTTAATAGCTACAGAGAAGTCAATGCATGGCTTCAAAGCTTCAAAGGACAGGCTCTCTTAGGGGCTAGGGCAGCAGGTAACAATCAGTGGAAGCCAGTGCTGATTTACTATTCTGAAAATCCTAGGGCCCTTAAGAATTACGGTAAATCTACTCTGTCTGTGCTCTAGAAATGGAACAACAAAGCCTGGGTGACAGCACATCTGTTTGCAGTATGGTTTACTGAATTGCCCAATTTGAGACCTACTGCTCAGAAGAAAATATTTCTTTTAAAATATTACTGCTCATCAACAAGGCAGCTGGTCACCCAAAAGCTCTGATGGAGACGTACAAGAAGACTAATGTTTTTATGCCTGCTAATGCAAACATCCATTTGACAGTCCATGGATCAAGGAATAATTTTGACTTGCAAACAAGGGGACGGAGGGCATTAGGACAAATACCTAATGCATGCAGGGCTTAAAACCTAGATGATGGGTTGATAGGTGCAGCAAACCACCACGGCACATGTATACCTATGTAACAAACCTGCACATTCTGTATGTATCCCAGAATCTAAAATAAAACAAAATAAAGAAATACAGTTTGTAATGCTACAGCTGCCATAGATAATGATTCCTCTGATGGATCTGGGCAAAGTAAATTAAAAACCTCTGGAAATAATTCATCATTTTAGATAACATAAAGAGCATTCATGACTCATGAAATGGGGTCAAAATAGCAACACTAATAGAAGTTTGGAAGAAGTTGATTTCAACCCTCATGAATGACTTTGAGGGGGTTAAGACATCAACTGGAAGAAGTAACTGCAGATGTGGTGGAAATAGCATGAGTTCACAGAATTGGAAAAAACTACTTTAAAGTTTATATGGCACCAAAAAAGAGCCCGCATCACCAAGTCAATCCTAAGCCAAAAGAACAAAGCTGGAGGCATCACGCTACCTGACTTCAAACTATACTATAAGGCTACAGTAACCAAAACAGCATGGTACTGGTACCAAAACAGAGATATAGATCAATGGAACAGAACAGAGCCCTCAGAAATAATGCCGCTTACCTACAACTATCTGATCTTTGACAAACCTGAGAAAAACAAGCAATGGGCAAAGGATTCCCTATTAAATAAATGGTGCTGGGAAAACTGGCTAGCCATATGTAGAAAGCTGAAACTGGATCCCTTCCTTACACCTTATACAAAAATCAATTCAAGATGGATTAAAGACTTAAACGTTAGACCTAAAACCATAAAAACCCTAGAAGAAAACCTAAGCATTACCATTCAGGACATAGGCACGGGCAAGGACTTCATGTCTAAAACACCAAAAGCAATGGCAACAAAAGCCAAAATTGACAAATGGGATCTAATTAAACTAAAGAGCTTCTGCACAGCAAAAGAAACTACCATCAGAGTGAACAGGCAACCCACAAAATGGGAGAAAATTTTCGCAACCTACTCATCTGACAAAGGGCTAATATCCAGAATCTACAATGAACTCAAACAAATTTACAAGAAAAAAACAAACAACCCCATCAAAAAGTGGGCAAAGGACATGAACAGACACTTCTCAAAAGAAGACATTTATGCAGCCAAAAAACACATGAAAACATGCTCACCATCACTGGCCATCAGAGAAATGCAAATCAAAACCACAATGAGATACCATCTCACACCAGTTAGAATGGCAATCATTGAAAAGTCAGGAAACAACAGGTGCCAGAGAGGATGTGGAGAAATAGGAACACTTTTACACTGTTGGTGGGACTGTAAACTAGTTCAACCATTGTGGAAGTCAGTGTGGCGATTCCTCAGGGATCTAGAACTAGAAATACCATTTGACCCAGCCATCCCATTACTGGGTATATACCCAAAGGACTATAAATCATGCTGCTATAAAGACACATGCACACATATGTTTATTGCGGCACTATTCACAACAGCAAAGACTTGGAACCAACCCAAATGTCCAACAATGATAGACTGGATTAAGAAAATGTGGGATGTATACACCATGGAATACTATGCAGCCATAAAGAATGATGAGTTCATCTCCTTTGTAGGGACATGGATGAAATTGGAAATCATCATTCTCAGTAAACTATCGCAAGAACAAAAAAATAAACACTGCATATTCTCACTCATAGGTGGGAATTGAACAATGAGAACACATGGACACAGGAAGGGGAACATCACACTTTGGGGACTGTTGTGGGGTGGGGGGAGGGGGGAGGGATAGCATTGGGAGATATACCTAATGCTAGATGACGAGTTAGTGGGTGCAGCGCACCAGCATGTCACATGTATACATATGTAACTAACCTGCACGTTGTGCACATGTACCCTAAAACTTAAAGTATAATAATAAAAAAAAGAAACCTAAAGATGTGAATAGAATAGAAAATTAGAATAGAATAGAACAGAACAGAATATTTTTAGAGTATTACATAAACTTTAGTTTGACTTTAGTTGATAAAGCAGGGGCAAGGTTTGAGAGGATTGACTCTAATTTTGAAAAAGGTTCTACTGTGGGTAAAATGCTATCAAACATCATCACATGCTTCAGAGAAAGCACAGTGAAAGGAAAAGTCAAGTGATATGCCAAACTTCATTGTTGTCGTATTTTCTTTAATTGCCATAGCTGCTCCCAGCCTTCACAAACCACCACCCAGATCAGTCAGCAGCCAACAAAATCAAATCAATACCCTCAACCAGCAAAAAGATTATCATTCCCAGAAGGCTCAGATGTATCGTTAGCATTTTTTAGCCATACAGCATTTTTAATTAAGGAATGCACATTTTCTTTTCACACATAATGCTATTGCACATTTAATAGACTACAATATAGTATAGACATAACTGTTATATGCACTGAGAATCCAAAAAATTCATGTGACTTGCTTTATGCAATATTCTCTTTATTGTAGTTATCTGAAAGCAAACCTGAAATATCTCTGAGGTATACCTATATAAGGATAAAAATACAGGAGGACAGGAATGGTGGCTCACACCTGTAACCCCAGCACTTTGGGAGGCCGAGGCAGGAGGATTGCTTGAGCCCAGGAGTTTGAGACCAGCCTGGGCAACATGGTAAGACCTGTCTCTCCAAAAAATTTAAAATATTATCCGGGCATAATGGTGCATGCCTATGGTCTCAGCTACTCGGAAGGCTGAAGCAGGAGGATCACTTGATCCCAGGAGTTTGAGGCTGCAGTGAACTGTGATCGCCCCACTACACTTCAGCTTGAGCAACAGAGCAAAACCTTGTCTCATTAAAAAAAAAAAACATGAAAATACATATTTCTTCATAAATATGATCTTTAATAGTTTATTCTTTAAGCACATGGAATTTATTTTACTATAATGTAATGCAAAGATTGAATTTTACCGTTTTCTGTGTTGCTTATGGTTCACATACCATTTGCTGAAAACCCCTACATTACTTTTCTAATTAAAAATATTACACCTGAGGCCAGGTGTGGTGGCCCATGTCTGTGATCCCAGCATTTTGGGAAGCTGAAGCAGGAGGAATGCTTGAAGCTAGGAGTTCAAAACCAGCTTGAGCAAAATGATGAGATCCCACTTCTAGAGAAATTTTAAAAACTAGCCAGGTATTGTGGCATGCGCCTGGAGTCTCAACTATTTGGGAGGCTGAAATGGGAGGATCACTTGAGCCCAAGAGGCTAAGGCTGCAGTGAGCTGTGATCTCACCACTGCACTTCTGTCTGAAAGATGAAGTGAGACCCTTTCTCCAAAAATACACCCAACCAACCAAACAAAAAACATCCCACAACCTTATATACTAAATCCATATACAATTGAGTGTGTCTTAAAATGTTAATCCAGTTCCCTATGTGTCTATCATTGACTCAATGCCACACTATCTTAATAACTATCACTTTATTGTAAACCTTGACAAGAGCAAGCCTCCTCCCACAAAATTGCATCATATTTTTTTCTTTCAAAATTGTATCAGGTGTTCCTGGACTTTTGCACTTTTATTTCATTTTTTACCCCAGCTTTATTGAGATATTGGCAAATAAAAATAGTATACATTTAAGGTGTATGACATGATGTTTTGATATAGTTATACATTTTTATGAAATGATTACCACAATCAGGCTAATTAACATATCCGTTACTTCACATAGTTACCATTGTGTGTATCTGAGTGTGTGGTGAGGCACATAAGATCTACTGTCTTAGCAAATTTCAAGAACACAATAGTTGATATTGCTAACTATCGTCACCATGCTGTACAATAGATCTCCAGGACTATGTTATAACATAGCTACACTCAAAAAAATTTATCTTATATCTTATATAAGTCTTCTATCTTACAAATTTTCTTATTTCATATCTGCCCAAAATTGTTGTGTTTGAGGAATAACCAGGAATGTAACGGCACAAACTTACAGTTTTATCTAACTTGGGAGTCAATTCCATCCTGCCCACTCCCTCTTCGCCACACCCCATCACACCCGCACCCTAACCCTGCCCCTACCCTGAGGGAAGCAAGGGAATGTAAGCTCTCATGCTCTCCTTCACTGCTGCTTAATTCAACTTTGGATTAGTTCCAGCCACCAGCATCCCAGAGACCTGATGCTGGAGAACAGGACAGAAACTGCTGCTCAAGGACATTGGTTCAGAGACGTCAGTGTGGCTGAAGGAACAGAATAACAATAAAGGATTTAAAAGATTAGATGTGAGTGGACTTCACGGAAGACAGTGGACTTCAGCCAAGCAGCATAGTGTGGAAAGGACAACGGAAGGTCTGCAAGCCCTAAGTCTACAATATCACTTAGTACCACGGTCATTTAATGTGTATATGATAAATAACACATGCATCAGGTAATTTTCAACACGGATGTTGACTTCAGAATGACAGATAAAAAGTGTAAAAAATTATTATTTGTTCTTACAGAAAAACAATTCACTATATTTAAGAATTTAGGTCATATTAAGTATGTTACAAAATGTACTTGATTATAACAGCAGTTGGTATTTATATATGTTCAAGAGTCACGGCATATTGTTTATGTGAAAAAGTCAGCTAATATAATGAAAGGGAGAACTCTAGAGGAAACCTGGCTCTGTCGCCCAGGCTAGAGTGTAATGGCACAATCTCGGCTCACTGCAACCTCCGCCTCCTGGGTTCAAACGATTCTCCTGCCTCAGGCTCCCAAGTAGTTGGACTACTCACAAGTAGCCCACCTCCACGCCCGGCTAATTTTTGTATTTTTAGTAGAGATGAGGTTTTGCCATGTTGGCCAGGCTGGTCTCAAACTCCTGACCTCAGTGAGCCACTGGTGCCCGGCCCTAGTCATTGGGTTTTGAGCATGACTTTTATTCCCTTACATTTTAGCTCTGAGGATTTAAATACAAATCTATAGCAAATGCATAAATGCTGAAGCCTTGGACCCAGTTTTGTTCAATCAGTTGTTGAACGATGAAGGAGATTAGAGCAAGGGGATTCTGATTGGAAAAAACATGACCCATATTTTCTATCAATTGCACTAATAAATTGTGCACAAAAATGAAGAGACTTGGCAAAAGAGACACTTTACTGTTCATTTCAGACTGCATCTTTGACACTCGAGGATGTGGGTTTTGTTTATGTTACCTAGTCTGTATAAGAAGAGAGAAAATTGGACTAGAAGCTAGAAATCCCTGATTAATCAATGCCATTCCTCTATACTGTCATGCTATGAAGCAGTATTCCTGCAAACAAATATTTCTTACAATAGCTTCATAGTATTACCAATTGAACATTAGAGAAATGATTTTTCTATCAAATTCTTTGAATTATCAAAGTATTTTCTTATCTCCTTAAATATTACTCCTGTATTTCTGCCCTTTGAACTCACACCAACTGCTATCGCCACCACCACAAAAACTCGTAACAATGTAACAGCTGTTCAATTGTTAAGGAAGAAACAGAGGTTCAAGAGCTTTTTCCTGAGTGGATCTATTCCAGGACAGAGGTGTTTTAGAGTCAATATTTTGCAGCACTGTAGTACGTTAAAGTACTTCTGAAGCATCAGGGAGCTGTGAGCCAGCAAAATTCCTACAGGGTACAACCACATCCATTCCCTTTGAGCCATGCTGTTTAATTCTTGGAGCCTGCTATTTGGGTAATGTCAGCACACTAGTGAAATGACTGAAAAGCTGAAATCGGTTTTTTAAAAGTATGCATGTATGTGTTGGGCATGGGCAGAATGGGCGGTTTTATTTAGAAATGTGTTCATTTTCAGTAATTCTGTGGCTTGGTCAATAATAAAGTGCTATGAAGGAATACATAAAAATACCTGCAATAACATATTTTAAAAATACATAAAGTAGGCCGGGAGCGGTTGCTCACGCCTGTAATCCCAGCACTTTGGGAGGCCAAGGCGGGGGGATCATGAGGTCAGGAGATCAAGACCATCCTGGCTAAACAGTGAAACCCCATCTCTACTGAAAATACAGAAAATTAGCCGGGCGTGGCGGCAGGCGCCTGTAGTCCCAGCTACTCCAGAGGCTGAGGCAGGAGAATAGCCAGAACCCGGGAGGCGGAGCTTGCAGTGAGCCGAGATTGCGCCACTGCACTCCAGCCTGGGCGACAGAGTGAGACTCCGTCTCAAAAAAAAAAAAAAAAGAAAATATACAAAATACACACAAAAAACCATAAAGTAGCACAGAGAAGATAATACAGGGGACATTGCAGTGCACTTCCCAGATAATTATTTAGGATTAAGGCACTTCCTGCTCCATGTGACTGGAGTCTTAGCTGCTGATTGCTCATAGCTGGATCCCCTCTCCTGTAGTTGGCATTAAAGGAAAGTGCTTCACCCAAGGCTCTACTCCTTTCCTGAGGACAACCTGCACCCAATAATTGGTCACTGTGAGGATACAAAGGTATGGACCCCTTGTATCAGGTGGGAGAGGGAGTGATCCTGGCTCCGGAAATCCCCCATAGTGTTGGTGGAAGCCTCTGTTGTACTGCATTGCTGTTCAGCTTCACCCTTTGCCCAGTCCTGTATTCCTATCTCTCATAGGTGTTGTTTCCAAGAGCTCTTCTAAAAGCTTTCATTAGTAATTTTCTGTCTCAGATTCTCTTTCTCAAAAAACCTGACCTAAGAGCTGTATTCATCTCTGGCTTGCCGGCACTGAGTCTCTCATTTCCAGTGGTAGGTGGGGCACTGATAGCCCCTGGCACCTGGTTGCAGTGAAATTCTTAAAACTTCCATCAGTGTAGAAAATTTCCCTTCAGTGTAGGAAATTTTACAGGCAATATCACAGGTGCTTAAGAAGTTTGGAGAAATCCTAATTATAAAGATTTTGGAATCAGATAACTATTGCTAAGGACGATCAGTGCCTTGGAGAAAGACAACAAAAGGCTAAAGGTGATTAATCATCAATATAAGGCACAGTTTGAGTGCCAGAAGGCCTTCATGGCAACATGTAAACTCTCTTCTCCTATAGCCAGAGAACAGAAAAAGCTGAGGATTGGACCTAAGGCTTAATTGTAAGAGTAGCAGAACTCCAGAGAAAGTTGAATTTCCAGTGCTCACAAGATGGCTACCAAAATTAGGAGTGGGACTCTGGGACTAAGTGTGGGGACATCTGGGTTGACCCACTCAAAAATATTGAATCCCCAGGATCCCCTAAGCACTCTAGGCCTCCAGAAGAATCTCATCCTTACTTGTTAAAAACCTGTGCTCATTTCTTCTTTGAAGATAATGCAGAGGCTATGATATTGCAAGACAACAAACCCTCTGAGAACCCACTTCTTCTAGATATCAGACAAATAACTAGGATTAAGCTTCAGCATAACCCAGACAGGGGAGTACTGAGCCTGTTAAAAGAAATACAGGGATGATACTCTGAAGGAGCTTCAGGGCCTACTAACAGGCTGGCAGGAGCTGGGTTTGTATATGTGGGCTTGGATCCCATGAGATAGTATATATGCAAGTATATCCTGAAGGTCCTGACCAATAAGAATGGAATATAAGGTTGGCTAAGGGAGATTTTTATTAATATGAAAGCATTCCCCCATGGTAAAGAATTTAACATTCTAGCAAGAACACTGGGAGATGATATTCCTAGGATAACTCCGGAAGCTTGGATAAAGTGACGATCCATACAAATGAAGTAGAAATGCTAAATCTTTCATGGTAGGTGGTAGAAAGTCTCAAAGAAGTGGATAGTATAGTAGAGTGGATATATGACTTAAGGCCAGAAAGTCTATCACATGATGCCATTTCATGGAAGGGCCTGGAAAATAGTTCCTTCACTAAAGAAATATGGAATTTGCTGGTTTAAAGAAAAGCACCAGAATTAATCATCACAGTGGTGGAAACTCTCTGTAGGCCAGAGCTAATAGTAAGAGATGATACTAAATAACTGGGCTCCCTGATAGCAACAAAGGTGGTTGCAAAGGTGATTGTCAGGTAGAAGCATTTAATCACCAGGAACAAGACTGTATGTGCAATTATTAAAAAATGGTTAATAAAAGATAATGCCTCCAAGAGCAAGATAGATGGGCATCCAGCAAAGATATTGCTCTAGCTATACAACAGTAACAACAAAAGAATCAAAGATAGATGATTTGGAGGCAGAGGGAGTCTGCTCACATAAAAAGTCCACTATCCCAAACCCAGTTTTCACACCTGAGCCACTTGCCAGACCTGGTTCCCCCTGACAGAAGGAGAGGCTGGATCCCCATCAGAATAAATTTTGCAAACATGGCTCTTATCTGTGGCTTGTAGCCATTTACTCAAGTAATCATACGCTGGGGAAATGGGGATATCCAGATACTTCAAGGACTCTTGGACAAAGATCGAGGTGACATTGTTATCCACTGACCTTAAGCTTCATAATGGCCCTCATGCTAGAAAGGTGGTACACATGGTCCAAATGTCAGATGGAGTCCTGGCCAAGGTCAGCTCACATTGAGCCCACTGTACATAGTTGAAATGAACATACTCAGTAGTTAACAAAACCTCTATATAGATTCCTTGATCTGAAGATAAGAGCTGTCATAGTAGGGAAGGCCATATAGAAGCCTCTTAAAGTGCCCCTGCCCTAGCCAAAATTAAAAATCAGAAACAATATTGGATCCTGGGAATAATGACAGAATTAGGGATACCATTCAATTATGCAAAGGTGGTGGTTCTCATCATATCTCCCCATTTATTCACCAGCTTGGCTCCTGCATAAAAACCAGAAGGATTCTTAAGTGTGACAGTAAGCCACCAAAACAATAAGAGATAGTCCCAACTGCAGCTGCTGAGCCAGATGTGTTATCTTTGTTAGAGCACAGTAACACGGTCTCAGGTATGTGATATATGGCCACTGATCAGCTAGACTGGTTCTTTTCTATCCCCATCAGGAAGGAGAGCCAGAAGTAGTTCACATTCATGTGGGAAAAACAAGAGTTTTATAGTCTTGCCAGAGGCCTAGTTAAATTTTCCACCCTCTGTCATAATATATTTCAAAGGGATTTGGAGTATTGAAACATTCCACAGATGGCATCTGTCCACTATTTTGAGATTGTTATTTAAAATGGACTCAATAAGTAAAAATTGTCAGAAGCTTTGGTAAAACATATGAGCTACGAAGACTCATGGACATACCATACTAATGATGTTTTTAGGGATCCAGTTATCTTGGGTATGCCAGGACATCTCCTCCGAAGGAAAAGACACATTATAGCATCTTGCACCTCTTTTCATGAAGACAGAAGCATAATGTCTGCTAAGCCTCTTTGATTTCAGGCAGCAGAGTATTTCACACTTAAAAAAAACCTACCCTGCCTCATTTACTGAGTGATCTGGAAAGCTGCCACAGAGGAGGAGGGCCGAGTGTAAGAAAGGGCTCTGCAGCAGCTCTGGCCTGCAATGCTTACAACCCTGACACTTGAACAATATGATCCATCAGACTTTATGGTATTAGAAGTATCTGTCATGGGAAAAGACACATATGAAGTTTAGGGCAAGCCCCAAAATCGGAGAAGCAAAATCTAGACACCTGAAGTTCTAGAACAAGACCATGTTATCTGCAAGCAGAGATTTGCACACCATTTGAAAAACAACTTCTGATCTATAGTAGAAATGGAGTGCCTGGTGGTGAGGAATCAAGCGACTTTGAGGTCAGAGCTGCCCATTATGAGCTGGGTTCTGTCAGAACCACCATTTCGTAAGGTAGATGGGTCCAGCAGTAATTCATCACGAGATGGACATGAGGAATCTGGGATCAGCATAAACGAGGCCAGAGAGTACAGATAAGCTACATGAACAGGTGGCCCAGAACCCATGTCACCCACTGTGCTGCATCAGTAACTCTTCCTTAGTTTATACCTATCGATAAATATGTGTGTGGAGGTAGAGAGGAGTCTCTTATGACTAGATGATAGAGGAGAAAAAGGTCTGAGCTTGGCTCATGGATAGGACATCTCCATATGCTGAAGATGGACTGCTGCTGCATTATCCAAAGTCCCATTCAGGGGTGAACCTAAAAGAGAAGAGTTAGGCAAAACTCTTTCACTGGGTAGAGATTTGAGTGGTACACTTGACATTTTTTAAGAAAATAAAACTGTCCTGAGATAAAAAATATATTGGAATTCAAAGGAAGCACTGAATACCTTACCTGATTGGCCGGGGGCCTGCCAGGACAATGAAAGATAGGGTTCCAGAATATCTAGAGAAGAAGTAGATAGATGGATTCTGGAATTCCATGAAGTGTGAAGAACCTTGAATTACATATTAACACATACTGAAGAGCAGCTAACAAGTAGGAGACTGCTACTAAAACCAATTAGAGGAATTCAGCCAGTGACATTCAATGTCACTTGACATTAGCCATTCTCTGTCATCAGCCATCCCAAGCGCTGACACAGTGTGTACCTGAATTGAGTAGCCATGGTGACAGGAAGTGAAGCTACGCATGAGCCCAACACCATGGGGTCCCATTCACCAAGTCTGATCCAACTGTCTAAACTATCAGCCACAGAGACCAATGCTGAGTTTCTGATATGGCACCATCTCTCAAAGAAAGTAACAAGTCACTTGGTAGAAATTGGTACAATGGGCCCCTACCACTCTTTGCCTCAACTAGGACCAGCCTCAAATGCTCCCAAATTACCTTTAGAATGGTCTGAGATCTTGAATGCAGCTACATGGCAGTTCTGCTTCTCCCTTTGCCCAACCTCACTTCCTTTGCCCCACATGGGTATTGTTCTGAGAGTGATCCCCAATAAATCTCCTGCAAGAAAAAATCTGTCTGATTGTTTCCCAGGTAGTCCAATCTAAGACCGATGGCAAGGTCCAGGATTTCCCCAATGCTCCAAAGTAATTACCTCCAGAAGACAACATGAATTAATATCAATGGTCATTTTTCCACATCTGCAAATTCAGCAAGATGGTATTACTTCTTAAGAATTTTCTTTCTGCTCAAGGGTGAGTTAGCAGCAGTAATTTGGAGAAAGAAATTATTGTATTTACATTCTATTGAAGTTACTTAATGTCTCCCTGTCATGACCTAGAAAGTCACAGAATTGGGTCTGAGAAAAGACCCCACAAATACGTACAGTCTACCAGAGGGCTTCAAGCAAGTAATACTGTCTCTTTTTATATATTATGAATGGGAAGTTCAGAGATTAGTTGTCTTGCAATAAGCTTCATAGTTAATACTAAAGGAGAAATCAGAAAATAAATCTAGCGATATTTACTACTGTGTTTCATTCTATTAATATGCTACTCTTCTAAGTCTTTGAAACCTATTAAAGTCTAAGTAAAATAAATTATTGTAATAAAGAAATTCCATCTACTTCTAAAGAGCTATTTGCTAAAACATTCTGTGCATTTCTCAGAATATGATTATATAATGTTCATATTTCCACCTGGGAAGAGGAGAGTTGTAACTTGGATAACTTTTGTTGGAGAGAGAAATGGAAGGATTTGTCTTCAAGAACTTTATAATAAAACTACTTTAAAAATAAGAGAGTCCATCTGGTCCTAAATTTCTATGGAAAACAAAGGTCTTTCAAAGAATCAAGAAGATCTCTTACTGAGATTTCAAAAGAAAGAATTTTTGATTGTAAGAAAGTTTAATAGATACAACCTTCATAATCAGATAAGTATTCTAACATCTCTTGAGTTGCAGTTTGTGCTCATTGCAACATTTTCTATTCTTAGCAGCAATGATAAATAAACCTAAGATCTACCAGTATGTTCCTTTAACTACAGTTAAGAAATGAAAATTCGATGTGACTTATTTATAATCAAATTATCCACCAACTACAAGCCATACTTTTTTATATTCCAATGAGCTAACTAGATTAAGAAAATGCATTGTACATAGTTGACAAATAACCCAGCTAGAATCCACTCTCAGAGTCCATCGCATTCTGGTTTTATCATGTTGAGAAAAATATCTAATGTATAAAAATGTATAGAATATATAATCACAGCTTAGCACTAAAAAAAGTGGAAAAAAGAACAGAAAATAAGAAAAGGATTGGCCAAGAAATTAAAAATAAAAAAGGAAATGACATGAGAAAAACGAAAGTATCTTTATATAAGGGTAGAAACAAAGAAACTAAATTTTAAAATACAGAAGACAAAGCAGTGATATTTCAAGGGCAATGTTCTGTCTGCCTTTCTTAGAATAGGGGTTTTTTTATGGTTCAAGTATTTGATTAATTGTGAAAATAATAAAGGGTATAGTATACTCAAATGTACATTAACTGAGCCAGTGTGGTTGTGCTGGGAAAAAATCAACTCGGAGTCAGAGGGACTAGCTCAGAGAATTGGCTCTATTCCTGCCAAATGGATGGCATGAGAAAACTCACTTAGCTTCTCTGTGCCTTGGCATTTTATTTTTAAAAATGAAGCCATGGGGATAAATTGTTTGCAGTACTTCTAGTCCTACAATTCTATAGCAATTCTTGTTTCCCCAGGCTTGTTATTTTAGGAGATATAAAATATTTAATAATTTTAGAAATATTTCTTGAGCACAGACTCTATTAATAACTGTTTCCATTTATACGTAATGTTATACTTTTACAAGTTGTTTTCACATTTCTTTACCTCATTTAATACAATGAGTAAGATGTGAGACAAGTAATTATATCTCCATTCTATAAATGAGGGATTATACACTCAGAGAAGTTAAGTAAGCTACCCAAGATTACAGAGGATTGAAGGACAGGCAGAAAACTCAAAGCTGGATCCCCTCATTCCCGGGCTGCTCCACTGTCTAAGCTATCCACAACTGCATATGAAGAGCTTCTTTGAAACGAGGTTTCACTGGATATAAGAAGTACTCATTGCTCCCAACCTATTTCAAAATTCTCTTGACTCTATGCACTGGAGGACCTGAAAAGATGAAAATGTTGGAAGCCCAAATCTACTTTTGTGCATATATAGATAATTCCATTTGCATGAATTTTCTCACTTACACAGTTTCACATTGTCACCATTTTTCAAAATGTAGTTTAGATTTAGAAAAATTGAAAACATTATAGAAATCAATATTTGTTAAAGCAGAGTTCTACCTAATGCCTACTCTTTGAAAGATTAAGATATCTTTTGTAGTTCTTAACCTCCCACTCTCACCCCAGAAAAGATAATCTATGGTTTGAAAAGGTTAGGAAATGCTTCCCCTAGTTAATTAACACTAACCTTAATTAAAGCTACAGTTGATCAGGGTGTCTTTAGTACAGGATGTTTCGGGGCTTTTAATATGCCACTATGCATTGTAAATTTCCTAAAGGAGGAGACAATACTCAGCATTTCTCAGACTTATTTAAGAATTAACTTTTTAAAGGAAAATCTAATATTTTATTGAACTTCTGTTCTATAGAAAACAATTTGTGAGTTTTGTCTCCTTACAACTAGAAAACGCCTTAGAAATTATTGATTTCAACTTCTACATGTTACAGATGAACAAAATGAAACCTTGAGAGGTCAAATTACTTGCTCAGAGTCACACAGTTAGTGACATGGCTCATGATTAGAACCAAGAACTTCTGACTTCCACTGCAGTGTTGTTTTCATTTCACATACTAACTTTCTGTAAATAAATATGAATTGGAATTGTGAAAATAGTTTTTTCACCTTTTTCATATTTGGAAAAGCCAAAGTCAATTAACATTGATTTAAACAATGTGTAAGCAAAATGTCTTTCCAAATATAAGGTATGTAATTACTAGAGTATGTTTTACCCTAAGTTCAGCATGTTTTAAACACTTTGATTTTCTATATTCACCAGGGCAATTGAACTTTATAAAACTATTTAATATTTTGATTTCCTTTACAAATGTTTGAATCTTTATAAAACTAGAAGATGTATTCTAATGGAGAAAAGAAATCACATTGATTATCTACAGTGTACCCAGCATTTTATCTACAATGTATTTAGCTGTCAAGATAACTAACAATAAAAAGATATTAGCTCTGTTTACAATACTAGATGAAAATTAGGCTCAGAATGTCACTTACAATGTCCTAGACCACATGACCATCGAGTAGAGGAGTAAAGGCTTGAATAGATTTCTATCTGGACAATTATTTAATTATTCAATTCTCTAATTCTCTTATAAAATGGGAATAATATCCAATTACATCAAATAGAATATTAAAACATTTAATGTATCATAACGTACATATGTAGATACAAGTTACAATTACTATATCTTAATTTTTTAAAGTTTTCATGTCTGCCATTAGCATACACTTGAAAACAAATATCTCCATCAGAGAAAAACGGTAAGAAAAAATCACGATTTATCTTTTAGTCATTTTTGTTCTAAAGGTTCCATGTTACTTTTAAAGTTGCACCGTAGACCTTGGTCATATTTGTTGATCAAGCATGTATAAAATGGAATATCTTTAATGAGAAAAGCAAGATTTATGGAATTCAGAATTGCTTTGGGAAATAAAAACACATTTTCATATATTAATAGTCACTAATGGCCCATACTCACGGCAGCAACTGTTAGGCAAATAAATAAATGATTTGCTGGTTTATTTGAAGTGTATGTAGAGGATAATCTAACAATTTGTTCATTATTCTTATCTGCTGGTCCCTTTACTTCTCAACTCCATAATAGAAAAGCTGAATGCAAACTGAATATTTTTATATTAAATTACATTTCAAATGGCCTGGGTCAGTTTGTGCTTACCTTCTAGTTTAAATTCTGTTTATGTCTACATTTTTATTCTGTGTTTCCATAAAGTAGACACTAAGCGATTAAAATACAGTAACTCCCCACTTACCCAGAAGGTCCAGCTTGTCAGAAGTCTCTGATAAAGGCCTCAGAGAAGCCAGAAATATCTACACCAAAGCCCTGCAGTAAGGCTCGTAGAGGTTCAGGCAAACTTTATTGACTTTTTAAATATGCAGTTCTTTTAAAGCTTAGTTATCTGGCTTCTCAGCCTCTGATAGATTAGTAGAAGCACATCAGAAAAGGTCAGAAGCTGTCTGAGGCAGGTAAAGTACGAGCAGATGTGATAGCTGACAGCCTTTTACCACGTTATCCAAAAAAACCAGGTCCATAATGATTGTCCTGCATCCCAAGAAAGGGCAAAATGATGTTAATGATGCTTGGAATTTTCTGGCTAAGTCACACGTTTCAAAACAACTGCCCCCATATATGGTTAAGTTGAAGTAGCTGTAAAATTGATTGATTTGTGATAGCACAAGTGTGTGTGTAATTGGCAATGCCTCCTCCAAGTAGGTAGGCACCATATAAAATTGATCTTAGTAAAGAAGAAGCAACTCACTAAAAATAGAAAAAGAAGCATATATTTTGAGAAGAGGGAACATCATTATCTAGTTTTAGTGACTTGAAAGAGGGGTTAATGGTGAGTTTTCTGGTATGACTAGGGTACAAAATCTAAGTAAAAATATAACCAAAAGCCTGCTTTCATCTCTTTCAGCCTTTAATTATTGCTAAAGTCTCATAGCCTAGACTCTATGGCTCTATCTTAAGGTGTTAAACTTCAATATTTTACATTGCTGCAATTAAAAGACCTGTGATACGGTTTGGTTAGGAGGATAAAGAAATAGAGTGTGGCATACATAGGTATGCAGGAAGGTAAAGAGGAAAAGTCACCAATCCATATGAAAATCTATCATCAGTTATATATTGCCCTATGTATTTTTTATGTCTCATCTCACCTAATTTTTGCAACAGGCATAAATTACCATCATTGTTGTTATTCTCATCTCAGATGAGAAAACTGAGATTCAGAGAAACTAAATATCTTACTCATAGACAATTTATAGAGACATTCAGTGGCAGGGCCAAATTCCATATTCCACATCTGTGTGTTTTTTACCATAATATATTACTACTAGCTCTGTAGAAGGAAAAGGGGTACACAAAAGTGAACTCTGGCTTCTAATAACAAACTTCACCTACTGCAAAATAATAATGGCTTGAATTCCTGAATAGATTTATACAAACAAATACATTATGTGCCAGTGATATTGATAACGGCACAGTATTAATTGAGCACCTATTATACGGTAAGCAACATTTCTTACACACCCTGTTAGTTAGGGATGACTATTCTCAGATTAAAAAGAAGAAATTATGGCCACGAGAGTTTAATCCGCCTTTTGGGACATAATTCTAAGTAGTGGAGCTGGATGAGCTTTCCGCTACTTTGTTATGGTGCCTCTCTAATGTCCCCAAAAGAATTAAGTTTAATGGAAGAAAATGGGAAGTTGCATGGGACTGGGAAATGAGTACTTAATGTTAGTAGTGAATAATAGATTTCTCATTACTGTCTATAATCAGCTGTATATGTGTACCTCTATCTTTGGAAGTAGGAGACCCATAATTCTTCATGTTTGTTCATACAATTATGTAACTGGCTATAATCAGGCAGTGACTTTAAAGGTCTCTACGACACACAAACTTCTGCTATTGTTCTAAGTTTTATAGTAGCCAACCTTCTATTTTACCTAAACCAAGTGAGATGTTGGGGGCAGTTTACAACCTATTCAAGATTATCAGCGGTGGAAAAAAAAAGCTAACTGCCACAAGATCTGCTCAAGCTTTTGAAATGATGTGGTTGAGAGAAAGGCTGTAATCACCATTTAGAGACCCGATCCTAGTGTTGAGTCTTTCAATAATTCAGCCTGTGGCTTTGTATGAGTTCACTAACGTGATCATTTTCCCCTCATATGTTAGAATGATAGTTCTAGTATTACCCATTTTTTTCTGGTCTGAAAAAAAGCTGTAGGATCAAAAAAAAAAAAAAAAAAAAACCAGATTTAAGCCTTGTTGCTTCTTAATTGTGAGACACTGATCAATTAAAATGCCTTGATTCTTAATTTTCTCATCTATAAAGTTTAGCTACCTGGCTGGACTACCTAATAGAATTGTTTTAAGGATTGAAATGAAATAATGAACTGGAAGCAGACTAAACTGTATAAAATTCTGTAAGTCATAAAAAATATTCACACAAATGTCTTGTACATTGTAAACATATTAAATATTTATGGAATGTATACCAGACAAGGGGCCAGTATTGAGTAAGATTTAGGAGTGCAGCCCCTGAGTCAGACTGCCTGAATTCAAAAACTGACTCCACAACTTACTAGGTGAATAAATTTGGAAACATTACTTATCCTCTTCGTGCCTCTGTTTTCGGATGTATAAAACAAAGCAAGTAATATTTGTCTCTCAGGCTATTGTAAGGATTAAATAAGACATCCCATGGAGAGTGCATGGCACTGTGTTGAGCACTTGGATGTATGACATTGAATAGCAAAAGACATAAACATTGTTCTTTTCCTAAGCTTCAAGTGAAAGCAATAAAGTGATGGAAGAGATTTAGAAGGATTCATCTTTTGAAAGCTTGTGAGTGAGTGTGTGGCGGTAGGGGTGGTTAATTTATATGGACACAGAGAGTGAATCAACAGCTTCTGTTTCATTCTATTATTTGTGAAAGGATAAGGAAACTAAATACTATCAGGGGATTTATCCAAGAATATAGCCACCTGTGTTAATTTTTCACTTCTTTCCCATTGGAGGAACCCATAAGGAGTACTAAAAGTAAACATTATAGGAGAGGCAAGAGGTTTAAAAATATTGGGTAGAATATGCTACTCATTCAACAGACATATTTGTAACAGAGAGTATAAGTGGAAAATTGAACACATGCAGATGATGTTCTTTTCTGTCTGGAGCATCCTCCCCTTCTTCCTCTGCCTGATGAACTTCTCAATTCCTTCAAACACCCAAGAGTCCTTCTCTGCCATGGAAGTTGGTCCAAGAACACCTTCTTCACTGTACTAACGTGAATCCTTATGCACTCTATTGCTGCATTTTATCTAACACTAAAATTATCTGCCTATCTGTTGTTTTCTCTTTCCAGAATATAAATTCCTCAAAGACAAGGACCATCCTCATCTTTACTTTTCCAGGGACAGTGTCTATCAATAAATGTCTATTAAAGTGGACTAAATTGTTTTCTTCTTAATTATATTAATACATCTTAAGTATTAATATAACTATATTATATAACTTTTAAAGCAGTTCAAAATCTAGTCTATAATTTTCTTGACCAAATGTATTACTCGCAACACTTTTATAATTTCTAGTGACATAAAAAAAATCTGCTAATCTTCATAGTTATCAGTATATTCATTCTATAGATATACTCCACAAAGCTTTTGATTTCCTATCACTTTTTGTAAACAAGCTATCTGTTGTTGACTTAGATTTATAGCATAACTTGAAAGAATCAGCTTCTGTTGGCTAACTTTCAGTATGTCTCTTTGATAGAATGCCCATGTCTTTTCCAGCTGCCTGCTATTAACAACTGCCCTGAAGCTAAGTTCCTTAAGGCATACAACAGGAGTTATTTATTAACTAATTATATTCATTGCTCAGAATGGGCTCCTCATAATAAAAAAGGAAAAGGATGTATATTCTCTTGATACAACTACACTGAGCTGTAAAAACAGCTCAGTGTGTTTCTGTTTTTCTGCTTTGTTTACCTGACACTTTGGTTCAATCAAGAAGACTTTCAACCATGGTAGAAAAAACTTCCACCTCCTAAACTTCCTTTTCCAGAAATATGTGCAGGCTTTCCTAAGATTACATAGACTGAATGGCTACTTTTGCAAGATGATTGGCAATTTGACAATTTATAATAACACAATTTTTTTATTTATGCTCCACACATAAGAAATCATAAGCAACAAGTATAGAGTTATTCACCAAAACTGAACAGTTATAATGCACTTTTTCTGTAAATAAACGTAGGTACTGGGAATGAATTTCACAAGAAAAATAATCTCCTCCATGGATATTCATTTATTTATTAGAATTTAATTTTATAGAATATATATGGATCTTTCTGCCCCAATCCTCATATGACATAAAATTAAGAATAAAATTATAGGCCAGGCGCAGTGGCTCATGCTGCCGAGGTGGATGGATCACCTGAGGTCAGGAGTTCAAGACCAGCCTGGCCAACGTGATGAAACCCTGTCTCTACTAAAAATACAAAAATTAGCTGGGCATGGTGGCACACGCCTGTAGTCTCAGCTACTAGAGAGGCTGAGGTGGGAGGATCACTTGAACATGGGAAGTGGAGGTTGCAGTGAGCCAAGATCATGCCACTGGACTCCAGTCTGGGCAACAGAGTGAAACCCTGTCTCAAAAAAAAAAAAAAAAAAAGAATAAAAGTATTATTTTCCTCATTGGCATCTGCAGAGTCCATGCATGAAACAATGATACAAGGTTAGTAGTTTACATATATAATGTTTTTGCATGTGTAATGCTTGTGTAAGCACATATTTTTGGATATAGAATGGAAAACATTTACAATTAAGAAGAAAGTTTATCATATACTCAATGGAAATTGACAATTCTAATAAAAGATTAGAGACAGCAGGAAGCCAGAATTCAGGAATGACAGAAAGGAAGTAAAATTACAATAAAAAGTATAGGATTATCTTCATCCCTGGTTGGGCAAGGATAGTGGCAGGGTTGGGTGTATGTACCTCCCCTAAACCAAAGAATAATGGGTGCCTCTGAATCTGTTTAAATATTTGTGCATTCATACTCCTGTGCACACTTAATCAGCCATTGATGGCTATACAAAATAGGATACACATTCCCTTGCTAAATAATACAATAGTGATTTCATTAAACTTGTCATTATTGAAAATTGCATTGTAGGAAATCCACCAGCCAATCACCTTCGGAACCATTCAATTTGCTCATGTCCATCTAGAATGAAAGGCTTGCCGCACAGCTGTGTTTAAGACTGTGTAATGACTTTGAATCTAGGACACAGACTCTTTCTGCACGTCCAATCGATTTGTTAGGAATCTGATCCTGTGCTAATAGGGCTGTGTGCATTAAAATTCATTCTTTGAAAATTATATCTGAACTGGATGCTGCATACAGCTTTTGAAATATATCAACTTGGTTTTGCCTTTACTTCGTTTTCTAGAAGAGGCTATTTTTTTTCTTTGGGGAGACTACTGTTTTCAGAGGCATAAATTGAAGACTACAAAATGTTCACATACTGGTGCTGTGAATTTCTAAATTAGTACATGTTGGTTGTAAAGTAGCCAAATTCAAATACATGAAGGATATTCCCCAACTTTAAAGGAAGTCCATGTGGGCTCAAACAATGCATTCTTAACTAATTTTAGAATTGTGACGACATGTGGTGAGTTCTAACAGCAATTCCACTTGCCATGTAAGAAGTACTTGAAACAAGATTATCAGCCAAATCATAAACATAAACACCAGGAAATCAGGAATTCATGGTCACAAAAGAAAAGCAAGATCATAAAGTTCTCTAGAATACATAATCAGTTAAATAAACATTAAAATTTTTTTCCATTAGAAAATTCTTTGAAAACTTAAAGTTCAAACTAATTTATTAGCTGTCAACCAATGCTATGAGTTTCTTGGCTTTGTAATCATTTTATGTTATAGTTACGCAGTCTTTATTTTGGATGTCATGGAAATAATCAATATATTACTGCAACAGTCCAAACTTTGCCTACAATCATGTGACTCTAGCTTGTTTTTATAATGCTGTAATGCAACACTAAAACTCTACAAACCGGTGTTGGACATGAAGCAGTTCAAATCATAACAGTGAATGAAGCATAAAAATGTCATGATATGATTATCATTCCTCATGAAACAGGTGTTATAATTGTCATGTCCTGATTATCCAAGCTAGTGAAGAAGCCAAAATACTGTATACAACTACATTGATAATATCAAAATCTCATCTGACCCAGTTCAGTCAAATCCAGTTTCACTTGACTTTCACAGGAAGGCCTCCTGTGCTGGAGGAATAACCTTTCTTTCTTGTGCTGTGAAAGAGGCATAACATGTGGTTATCAGTTATGTGAATAAGTGATAACTGTGGTTATCAGTTAAGTGACTAAAGGTTAAACCACTAGACGATCAAGCAAAAGAAGCCAGAAAGGAGGCCTAAGCTGCAAAGTCCCTGAAGGCAGTAGCTATATTTTACAAACTTATCTTTCTGACCATCAAGCACATGGTTGTACAGATCCTTGGATATATTTTTTTGAATTGAGTGAATTGATTGGATTATGTAACAGATCACCCTGTTCAGGGCAGAAGTTCCTCAAATCAACCAAAACCATGATATTCGTATGCTTAGTCTTTCAATCATAATGTGAAAATGCAGGAGTGTTGTTTACTCTACCCTTTAAACCCCTTGAATCCTTTGGAAAATGAGACAGAGTAGAAATGAATGCCTAAATAAATAAAATTAGGAAGTTAAGTATGCTTTTCGTACTATTAACTGATTTCAGAATTCTAGGTTATCAAAGAATACTTCTTTGTCTATTTGTAATAGAAATATAGACACACTAGGTGGCTTTCATAGACTAAGAAAATGAGAGAAAAATCTTGAAGAATCTGTGGACTATAAATAAGGTTTGGGAAATGGACAGATTTCTAATTGAGAGAGAGAACTTTTGATGAATTGAATGTTCTGACTCTCTTCTGCATCCATGATTCTCTCTTCCTCCCTCTAATTCACAAAGTCTTCTAGACTGGCTAGATCCTTAAGATTCATTCACTGATGCTTCTGTCTGCTACTTTCTTTTTCTTTTAAAATGTAATTTAATTTTAAGTTCCAAGATACACGTGCAGGACGTGCAGGTTTGTTACATAGGTAAACTTGTGCCATGGTGGTTTGCTGCACCTATCAACCCATCACCTAGGTATTAAGTCCCCCATGCATTAGCTATTTATCCTGATGCCCTCCCTCCCTCCACCCCCACAACAGGCCCCAGTGTGTGTTGTTCCCCTCCCTGTGTCCATGTATCCTCATTGTTCAGCTCCCACTTATAAGTGAGAACATGTGGGGTTTGCTTTTCTGTTCCTGTGTTAGTTTGCAGGGGATAATGGCTTCCAGCCCCATCCGTGTCCTTGCAAAGGACATGATCTTGTTTTTTTTATGGCTGCATAGTATTCCATGGTGTGTATGTACCATATTTTCTTTATTCAGTCTATCATTGATGGATGCTTGGGTTGATTCCATGTCTTTGCTATTGTGTCTAGTGCTGCTATGAACATACATGTGCATGTATCTTCATGATAGAATTATTCATATTCTTTTGGGTATATACCTAGTAATGAGATTGCTGGGTTAAATGGTATATAAATTACCAGACACTCCTTAAGACAGTGGGAGTCAAGTATACAAGAGGAGAGTGTGTTGTTCACACAGAAAATCTGCTTTGCTGTGTTCACTCCGTACCACAGAAGGAGCTACTTTTGTCGCTGTAATTCATGTTACCTGATGTGTCATATATTAAGAAAATAATCTGCTGAATTATACATTCTTTAGAATCCAATATAATTTTAGAAATTTAAATACTCTGTAATTGAGCTTCTTTCTCTTCCTCAAAGGGGAATAACCAACTGATTTAACAAGTGGGGACATTTTTCTGCTTACTTTTTTCCTATATATTTATATTTTAAATCTAAACTTAAAACATTTTCTTATGGAGAAAGATGTAACAATACTTTCAATAGAAAGAAAATAAGCAAATAAATGAAAATAACCAGAAAACAGAAAATAACCACTACATACTTTCTCAAATCTGAATGATAGTTTAGGCCTTTAGTTTTCTGCACATATTTCTTATATTAAAAGCATAAAAATACCTTTAATTTCTTCAATTTAAATGCTGCTATTCAGTATAGGCTGTGTCTTACCTCTTTCTAAAGTGCTGACCTCTTGAGTGAAGGATCCATTTCTGATTATTAATAGCTTTGAATTATCTTTACTTTTTATTAATACTTGGTATATACACTTTTGATATTAGGTGACTTATACTTCATTGCACATATTTATGTCATGACCAGCATTTAAAACTTAACCATGTGTGTGAATATTAAAAAGTACTGAGCATTGTATAGCTAACTCTGCAGGAAGCTATATGACATATTTTAGTGTTTTCTAAGTCAACTATATATACTTTCTCAGCAAATGAGTGATTTATTTTAGATAGAAAGAAAAGGTTATTTAAAAAGAAAATTCTGGTAGGAATTTCCAAACACTAACAACTCATTGAAACTCATTTCACTTTTGCAAATAGAAAACACGCCTTAGTTTTGGGATGTAAATTTCATCATTGAACCAATTGAGTGCATTTAGCAAATTATGTTTTTAAAATCTGCTGCAATAATATAATCTCACAAACCTTTCATTTAATATTTACGTGTATCTACTTCCTTTGCTTCTGTCCTCATGTGAAGTGTTTGCAGACTTTATACTGTAAACTGGAATTCCATATACATTGAAGGTTTGTAAATCAAATTTTTTTGTCAGTCATTGATTCTCAGGGAGCTAGTTTGTTAAACTAGGTTGTATAACTACTAAAATCTGTAGCATGTTTCAGCTGGCTTGTCACTTAGACTGAAAGTCTACAGGCTACAAATACATTTTAAACAGATAACACTGCCATAAACAGGAAAAGTAAGGCACTTCATATTCAAGAGGAAACTGTTACGAAAGAAAACAGGGTTACAAACATATATATATTTACACATATATGTGTGTGTATATATATATTGCACTATACAGTCTAAATTGTATATGTCTGTTCTTGTAGGATCTGTTTAGAATGACATTTCAATTTTAAACAATTTATGAATAATGAGCTTCCCACTGAGGGTGGGCTGCAGAAACTTTGGATTAGGGTATGAGTGGCTCTCATGCAGATACACAAAAACAAACAATTCCCACAGACCTTGAGGTTTGAGCCATATCAAGTTATAATGAAGTAAACAGGTATAAGCACATAAGAGAAAATGATCACCTTGCTGGCCATGTGAGACACTTCTATGTATATGAAACAACTGAAATATTACCATTTCAAGGATCCCTGCCTTTCTTTTTCTTCTAAGAGAACCGCCACCTGCACAGTTTCTGGAGAACACTTCAGAAGATATCTTTTCACTTACCTGAAAAAAAGAACAACAACAAAACATTTAAACATCATTTCATGGTAAATTTGTTTTTGGAAACTTAATTAAAGAAAAAATACCTGTTTTATATAATAGACATGTTTCTACAATGTCGTATATGCATTGAAGTTTTGTAAATCAAATCTTGCTTTCCCCTTGTCCTGACATTACAGCTTTAGCTTATTTTTGAAAATCTGATAGTTCATTGGTCCTCCTACCTCATAAAATTATTTACATATCTTGCAAAAACCAGATTTTCCCATACTATATGTGCTCATTCTACCAGGACAAGGTCTCAATGTAATTCAGAAGGTGAAAATAAACTGGTCTCTTCATGATTTAATCATTTAATCAGTCTTTCATTCTTCTATTTATTCACCAAATATCTATTGACCCTTAATGTGCAACAGCCTCTTTGCTAGGCCTGGCGGTTTAACTGGAATCAAGACACTCTCTCTGATGTTAAAGATCTAATACTGCATATAATCATTCTTGTAGGTAATCTGTACATCTATCAAACAGGACTCCTCCTTGGTCTAGGGCAGGCTCAACAATCTAACACAGAAAAGTTTTTCGCTTGCCTTCAGTTTTATTCTCAGTTCACAACATTAGTGCAAAGACATGTCTCCTAGCCATGGTCCAGGACAGAACAGGGAAAGTCAGGGACACAGAGGTAAACTGCATTTGAGCAGGCTGCCAAATCATCTGCAGGGACTTCACTGCTGAGATAATAGATGTCCACACCCAGCTCCTAGCAGTCTTCCTGCATCAGTACCACTGTAGATGGCATTTCCCTGTGGCACCTTTCAGTGGTGCAGTGAGACCTTTAAAATGCCTCAAGTGAACTTTGACTCCCCCCGCCTTCCCACAAGAAGTCCCATCTCTCTTCATTGTTGACCTCCCATTATCACCCAGACATCATGCCTTTTATGCTGCAAACCAAATGATCCAAACAGGGTAGTCCCAGTCACCAGAGCAAAAGAGAAAATTACTTTCTGCTTTGGGTGAAAGCTGTATTGGTCTCTTGGGGATTTATACCCTGGCATTTCTTATCTGCCATTGGATGTTAACAGTGTACATTCTATCTTAGCATCCACAGTGAGCACTGGAAGCTCTTGGCTTTCATCCCACCCAATCTGAGAACAGGAACTGAGTTCTTTTCAGTGGGCATGTGACAAATGAAGCTGTTATCAATGTACAATAGAAGTTACTAAAGCTATCACAGAGGGTTGTGAGATGAGCAAAACCACATTATAGCACTGCATGTAGCTGCTGTTTTGGTGGAGACTGAGCCAATGCACTCTAGTAAATGAAAACGATTAGATGGGAATTGGTGAGTGAAGTGACTGCTAGAATGATTGCATTTTGAAAGGCAGCTAAGAGAGCAAAGAACAGCTTTCTGGCATTCTTAGATAGGGTTTAGTTGGTTTGGGTAGAAGAAATGTGTGTTCTTCAATGAATATTTTGAGATGTTTATTTCACTTATGTGATTTCCAAGTGAGTTAAGAGTTTTAAAAATGCAAGTTTCAGAAAGGTATTGAAAGTATATCTTAAGAGAGCTCTAAATGACTATGGAAATATAAAGTGCTTTTCCGCACACTCCTACACTTGCCCTCATGTTACCAAGAGACAATGATGACCTTCAACAAATTGCTATGTAAAATAGGTAAGCATAATTAACCCTATGTATTGGTATTAAGACAAACTAGATTATACTGTATTAAAAATTTTCAGACTGGCGAGAAAGAAAAATGTGGTGCCTCATGCTTATGTGGCTACTCAGGTCTTTAAATACTGGCTTTTCTTAGTCAAATATCTTTGGATTAAGTAATCAGACATACTCTGTGATACCCATGCTTGACCTACCACCATTGTGTTTCCTGGCCAAGTTATTGACCGTCTGATGGGAGGTGAGCTAAAGGCTAGTATGTTTCAATTTAGTCTCAAAGGGACCATGGTGGGGCTAGGAAAATAATAATAATGAAGCATGATGATTACTTTTACATTTACAAGGCTTCAAATTCTCTGGGAGCCAGCAATAGCTTTTAAAAGCTAATAGGCAGAGTCTGCTGAAGATGATTTTTGGTGGAATCAGGAGGAAAGACAACCTGATATTCTGCAGGCAACACTGTGGAGTGATTAAGTGCTCCACAGCTAGAATACCTGGGTTTGAAACCCACTCTGAATCTTATCAGCTTGGGTAAATTACTTAAACTATATTGACCTCAGTTTCTCCATCTATAATATGATAATAATACCTGTACCTACATCACAAAAGTGCTTAGCCTATGTCTATTCATGATAAAAGCACAGTACATGTTAGCTATTATTCTTATTTTTTCTTGGGTAATCTCAGTTGCATCTTCTTTGCTTCATCGTAGGGAAGATAGGCTTGAGATCAAAGTGAAAGTGTATTACACTTACAGAAGCTGTATTCTATGGTTGAGCCCAGAATAGGCTGATTGAACTTCTCTTAGGCAATAATAACTCAGGGAACTCACTGAGGGAGGGAGGTGGTGATGAGAGACGAGAATAACATTGATGCATTACAATTGTGTGGCTTTTACTGTTTCCTGAACGTTTTGCGGATATGCTCTCAATTAGTTCCTGTGAAGAGTTTGGGAAAGAGATATCATGAGAACATAAAGGAAATTATGGGTAGACGCTCGTGTAGATCCAAGTAGAATTTCTCAACTCACAGGGCAGGAACAACATTCTGAGTCTTAATATCCCTGGGGAGCATGAGTAAAACTTTGCTACTTCGGCCAGGAAATGAAATGAACAACTTTTTTTTTTTCAGGTTGTCACTGGCATGAAATGATGAAGTTTTAATAGTGTTGCAGTGTATAGATTATTTTCAATGGGAATAGAATATGTGTTAGGAGACAATAGGAAGGCGTGGCAGGTGAGCCTTTGTTTCTTGTACCTGGGGCAGGAATATAAAGGGAGGCCTATTGCCATATATCTAAATATTTGAATGTTATAAATCAAGGTAATAAACGGATAATAAAATACATTCTATCTTCCAACCTTGACAATTTATCTTTACATTGACTTGCAAGGTCAGCTTAACATTAATAATTCTTAGGCCACTTGGAGTTCTAGATCAGAACATGGTGCCACAAGAGGAACTGGCCCCAGCTCCGACCCCTGACCCATGGGCTTCCTCGTGTTTCTTCCCACCCCTGGCTCAGTCAACACAATGAGGAAACGCAACCATGTGGACACTCCAAGGCTCCACATCCAAGCTTTGTCTACTCTCCATGCTACCAACTTACCCTTGGACATTCCTTCTGGCCTAGAGATGTGCACACAAGTTATGGTGAGCACTTAGAAAAACAAGCCTAGGAAAGAGATCCATACAGATTCTGGAAGTGAGCTCAGGGATACTTGAGCAAGTAAATTTTAAATTCATCTGAAGTAGGATCATAGTCTAGAAGGGCTGGGGTGGGCCCAGGGTGGGCTTATCTCTTTGACCCCCAAGGATTTCTGACCCCCTCAGTGTAGGTATAACTGGTGGGGAAGATGTCCTAAAGCATGAGACTCACAGAGGGATCCCTCTTACTCAGGGATAATTGTCATGGTGTCTTGACTAACATTCACAACAGAGAAGAAAATAAGATTTTCTAAAAATAACCAAGGTCGTTATTGACTTGCAAGTGTATATTGAACATTAGCCATAAGAAACTCACTACCACACACTCTAACTGCATCCCTACTGCCTCTCTCATTGTTGCCATTGTTTTGCTTTTTTGCCCCCTTCTGATGTTGTAATTCTCTTTCAGTTTTCAATAGAAATGTTGCCACGTGGAGAGCATAATGAAGCAGCTGCTTAACAGTTGCAACTAAAAAACAAGACAGTTTAAACCAAAAAGTCTCCTCCAAGGAACCTTGGGGATATGAAGAAGAATATACCCAAATGGGGAAATGGCCAGGCATGGAAGCTAATCCTAATGGTTTCTCAGAGGTGTCATGGGATCCTCAACCATTGCCCATGATCAAGCCTTGAGTTTTAAGTCTTCACTGAAAGATGTAGCTATAAGAACCCAAGACCACAGTCTAAAAAGCAAACAGTTCAGTGCTGATTCATAAATGCTATCCCTGAAAGGGTGGTTTTCACAAAAGAGCTCCCATTGCAAGTTCCACATAAATCAAAATCATAAATAAATAATATTATGTAAGTACAAAATAGACCTAGCATCCCTAAGATAGTTTAATCAAAGCTTCAGGTATTCTGAGATCAGATTTGTTTTGATTTTCTTCAGGCTCCATTTTTTTACTTCATGATAATGAAACAAAAGCTTTTCTAAAAACAGACAAAAATTAATCACAGCTATCTAGGGTAAATGCCATTCACATTTCCTCAAAAAGTCACCTTGTGAACCTAATGTAATCAAAACAATGGCAGGAAAATGCTAAACTCTTGTTAAGTAACCATTAATTATTTATGAAAAGAGTCTATCACTTATAAGTAGATTTAACTCAGGCTGGATGGGGAGGAAAACCCTGAAGATTTTATTTACTGGGACTGTTGAAGGACAGTTGTACATCTGTATCAAAGGAAGCTTCCTACTCCTATGGAAATGCTGTGAAAGGGTAGGATTTAATCTGGCCTATATCATCTACGTGAATGAACCTGAGTAATAATATATAGCATGTATATATAGTATAGTGTGTATATATAAAAAGTGTGTGTGTGTGTGTATGTGTATATATATATATGGCATAGTATAGCATAGAAACTCTAATCTCAGCCAGTGTCCACATTGGCAAATTAGGAATGATCTGTGTAGCTGATAACTGTAAGAATAAATAACTATTACTAAAATCATTAAATGCTATAAGAGACTATACGAATAGTCTTATATTTAAATGATACTTTATAATTTTAAAACATTTTAATTAATCTCATTTGATCCATAAGACAACTTTGTGGGATATTGTGTCTAGGAAACATTCTCATGCCTCGCCATCTGTTTTCTGCAGTTTCCCTTTATTCCACCTATGAACTACAAATGGGAAATTAGCTCCATTGATAAAGAAGGGAATAGACACGGCAAGGACTTGATTTTTCCACCTATGCGCTTTCCACTAAGCCACAGTTTCTCTAATAGTCGTCTGTGGAATTTACACACGGAGGTGAACATTTTGTGTGGCTTAAATTACATTTCTACACCGGGAACCCTCTTCTCACCATTTTCTCCAAAATTGAAGAACAAGACTGTGGGGAAGAAGCATTTTCTTGGCCAATTATGGAAAGAAACGGGCTCAGGAATCTTCCCCTTCCCTTTATTTTACCTTCTGTGTTTGTATCATCTTCATTTTTACCCTTTTTCTCAAGTTCTTCTAATTGACTTAATGGTATTATTCATTTGTTCCAATTCCCTAAGCTTATTTATGTATGTATTTGTTTATTTTTACTCATTAGGTCCCTCAAAGTGTCAAATGAACTCCTTATCTTTGACTACTGCCTTATATATATTATATTTCTATTTTTTGATTCTTCAGTACTTGGGAACAAAACAAAATAAGCACAATGCTAGTGTCAGGGATTTTAAAACTATATTAGCAATAGTATTTAGTAAACCGTTTGTCATTTTTTTGCCTGCATATCATACCTCACTAACATAATTTACATCAATATTTAATTAATTTTCATGGTTCTTCTTTAAATTGTATCATCCTCTCCTCAACAAAGGAACATCAAACTATTTAGTCTATTTAGTCAGTTTCTTTGATATTTATCCCATTAGTGGCAATTGATCTTGCTTCTATACTTTTCCTGTCATCATTTACAACACTTCTGTTCTACAGATGAAGTTAAAGGAAATTAAGAAACTTTCATACAGCTAGTAAAAGACTGAGCCCAGAATTAATTCAGTCGCCTGATGAGAAAGACCTGCCTCTTAGCCACTCTGAAATTCTGTATCTAGGAAACATCTTCACTCTTGCCACCTGCCTTCTACATTTTTTCGTCATTCCATCTATAAACCACAAATGGAGAAAAGGCAATGAAGCATAAAGCAGAGGAAGGAAAAGGGATGTATAAATATTTTCTTCAATATTATAGCAATTGGTATGTGTGTAACAGAGTAAAGGCAATTTGCGTGCCTGTCCCTGGTGTTCTTTGCCAGCAATTCTGATTTTGCACAAGGCACAGAGCAGGCCCTGTGATCAAGGTCTTTTCTCACACATTCATGTATCTATTATCTAGGAACCATCCCAAGTTTAATTTCATTGAAATGCTATTCTGATCACACCCAGATTTTACAGGTAACGAACCTGGCTTCGCTGGGGCCACCCCTGAGAGCCGAAGGTAATGTGGGAGTCGCCTGTTAGCAGCTACATCATCTCGGTAACTATGTGCTCCACCACTCGCATCTCTTGCTCCCCTGTACCCCACCCCTTCTCGTTCCAGCAGGGATGGAGGAGAAAATTGCATTATATTTCTCGGCTCCATAAACTATGTCAATTTCTCTAGAAACAATATTAAATATGGTAATTTTCCCTTTCTTTTTCTTAATCCATTACATTCTCCAACCTCAGTCACAACGACCTTTGAAAGAAAACAACAGCAAAGGCGTCTGGGTAATGTCATTATGCTAATTTGCTGGCGCTAATCTGTAGAAATCAAAAAGTAGTTATTAGAGTGGGGATCACTGTAAAAGAAAACACGGCAAACCTTCCTCTCGGCCCTCTTCTGCACCTGCAGTCCACTTCAGTGAGCTTTTTCTTTGCAGATTGGAAACTGACCACGATCTTATATTCATGTCCTGCCTGCATTTCTCTCACCTTAAGAAGTAATTGGCAGGGTTAGAGTTGATATTCCAAACTCTGCCGAGAATACAGAAGAATGAGAACTCTGGCTGCTTTTCTGGGAGTCGGGTTCACAAGGTGATCTGAGAGTAACTGTCGTGACTATGCTTTGCAAAATCGGCAAAAATTCAGCACTTCACTAACCCTAATACAGCAAGAATCTGTAGAGCAGCTGAAGGTTAACACAACAATGAAAACAAACAAACAAACAGAAAAACTAGGTAATAATGCCACCATTTTTATTTCTCACACTCCTCAACCCCCACCTCTGATCCTAGGCTTTCCTGTGTGCCTGCTTTTCTTGCTATCAACAGAGATCTTTCACCTGCCCTCAGAGGCCTATCAATGCTCAGTCTGGGATCCTCTAGGAGCCGCCAGAAGCCGCAGAATCACAGAGCAGAAAGAGGCTCTAGAAAGCATTAAGTCTTAGTGTATGGGATCTGCCCTCACTCTCTGCATTTTCTGAAATGAAAGAGGAGAGAGCTGGCCAAGTGGAGCAGCTCTTCCAGTCTTGCTGGGGGTAGATCTGACCTTCCTCCTTATGAGAGAAAGGGATGCAAGGAAATACCAATATCCAAATATTCTCTTTGGACCCTTAAACTTGTTTTCACTTACTGCATTGTTTAAAAGTGTCTGAAAGAAATTATTTTGTATAATTTCTAAAGTATGATAATGTTCACACTGAACCATACTTATTTTAGAAATGACAATCCTATATATTCTAATTGGAATTAGGTATAAATAAATAGCCCTAATCTGTCTCATACTCAGACAGACAGCCAAGTTTGAAATTTGTCTAATAATTAGAGAAAAAAATAAAATGGTAAACCATGCACAGTGATATTTTATTTTGACATAGCTGCTCAATTTTCTTGGAGATATAAATGTGTTTAATCCATCTACATTCTCCCACATACATTCTGGCAAAATTGCTGCATTGTGACAGCAGAAATGCATTAATTACTTAAATGTTGCTTAACACTATAGCACTAAAGTACTTTATACAACGTGAAAGGACAGAAGGGGTTTTTACATATTGTCAATTCATGGGTGAGGTTAGTAGGCTGAAAGTAGCAGGAGGCAAATGTGGCTGAGGGTTAAGTGCTGTGTCTCAGAACACCTGTGTTTATTTCTTAATACTGTTAGTCATTTCTGGAACTATATTCCATGGTGAGGATTTTTTTTTTGGCGGGGGGGCGGTGTTGATCATTTTTGTTTTAACATTTCTGAATCTAGAAAATGAGATTTTGTTGTGGGTTACCACACATTCAGCATAAAACATTTATGTTAATAGAGGATTAGGAGTAGAAACTAATAGAAAACTGGTTTGATGTGCTTTTACTTAAAAAAAAGAAAAGTACAAAACCAGAGAAGAATACAGCTGTCAGCTATTAATACAACACAGCACAGTGAGAGTAAAACCCACTTCTGGGGCAGCCCCAGATCTCCTCTGAGACAGCCCCAAGATAATCCAGACTGTCAGAGCACAGCCAGGCTGAATCGTGCTATTCACTGGGTTCCCAGCACCACGCTCCAGTTCTGACCCTCTCGCTCCCTCTCGGGATGGATTGCTGCATCATCCATCCTCCTTAACTTATCTAGTACAGCCTTCTCTCATCCAATCCCAACAGGCTTTGCAGTTTCTCTTACAACACCAATCTGATAAAGCCAGCTCCTCACTCAAAAAGGCTTATGTGGCTCCCAATGCCTTTACAATAAATGGAAACTCACTGCCATGGTTAAGTCCTTTCACAATCAGGCCCCACCCTGCCTGCCAGTCTTTTATGCATCTCTTCATCCCTGCCATTCTCACTGGAGCCATGGAATACCACCGCAGTGCTCCATTAACATTCTTACCTCCACTTCTCTCTTTGCAATGTTCCTTCTTCCCAGAATGCCCTATGATCCCTTTTCTGGCTTCTCAAAACCCTGTCTATTCTGCCTGTTTCTCTTCAAATGTTATTCATCCTGAGAAGTTGCCCCTGGCACCTCTCTCCTGACCCAATCTCCATCACAGGCAACAGGTTTGTTCCTCACCCACACCCTCATAACACCCTGTTTCTATTACCTGCCAAGTCCTACCCTGCCTGGCCGTGCCCTCACTTGTGTAGGAGCTCGCCCTCCTCCAATAGATGGTGAGGTCCTTGCCTGCAGAGCTGGCATCTGAATGATTTCCAGTGTTCTGGTTCCCAGAACTATTCCTTGAACCTACCAAGTACTGAATTAATACTTGTAGACTCAAAGACTTCATTTAATTCCATTGAAAGAGACAATAGGTGGCTCCATTCTACCTAGGCAGCAGCGCTCCATAGATAACAATATGGATGACTTTAACCAATATATTATGCTACATCTGTTTGGCTCTTTGTAATTCCCCAAGTGCAACGACAGTACATAAGACAGAAAAAAAAACCCACTGAAATGTCAGAGCCCCTAAGGCAGAGCTTTGGGGATGCTGGAAGCCGCTTGGGGATGTCTTCTGTTGTCTTGCAGTAGCAACAGTAACAGTAGGCTTTGGTAAGGCAGACAAAAGCTAAAACATCTCTAATTTTCTCATTCCTAAAGCTCCTCTTGCTTGGCAGTAGCTCTGGATGTGTGGGAAGGCCTTTGGGACATCTTTCTCCACAGCTGCCAGGTAGCTGCTTTTGCCGTGGATGATGTGGCTCTTCCTGTCAAACTCCCTCCACCCGGTCTGACTCCTTACACAAGGATGAATTGACGTTACATGTAAAAACAGTGGCAGTTATATGTGAGACCGAGGTGGTTTAATAAGTGAGCACATTCAGCCCACTCCCTTTGGGGGAAAAAAACCAATAAAGGTATTGACAAGGGAAATTGATGTTATCTTTGTAGACATTCATAAAGCATCGCTAAAACAATCCCCACAATAACATTTGCCTTTTCTTTCTCTGACTTGAGTTCCCTCTTCTGACCAGGACTACTTAATATGCTCTCCGGTCTCCGCAACTGAATGCAATAACAACAGTGTATTCAGAAGAGTAAACCAGGGAGACAGAGGAGATAAAATCTTTGCTCTGTTGCACGCAGCCTTTTGAGGTTAAGCATTCAGCTGAACTGCTTAAGCAATGAGAATCTGGTTCCATGCAGCTAGGGGGAGCCCAAACACAGTTGAATGTGCCCTGCTGAGCGAATGCATTTAAATTTTCTGTCCCTCAGCTTTCAGAGTGTCTTTTGAAAGTATCCCCTTTAATTGGCCCAGGGTAGAGGCTAGGCATCTGTGATTGAAGGAAGGAAAAACAGATGCAGTAGAATCCCCCAGACACATTCTAGAGGTTTATATGATTTGTGTTTCTGAGATAAGACCCTGTTTCCTGCAGTTGTACGTAGCCACGGCAAGAGTATCTAGAAAGATCATTTCATGGCTAGAAAAATTAGAAAACTTAAGATGGGGATACGTTGCAACTGGCTTGTTTTCTCTACATAACCCACTTCTGAGTTTAATTCAATGGCTTCTGTTGTAGCATTTTTCCTTTTTTCAATATGGGGTTGTAATTACTCTTATACTAAAAAAGAGTGTGTGTGTGTGTCTGTGTATTTGGATTTCAAATACAATATTTAGATAAGAAGGAGATTATAACATGTAAATGAATAACAATAACCCTAAAACAAGCAGGCTAGAAACGCTTCCTAAATTACCAACAGGCGGATTGTATATTGGTTGTTCGAAAGTCTATCCACCCTGTTAGAAATAATAAATAATTTGTTCAGTTTCCCCAAACAAATAATAAAAGTTTCCTTAATGCACAATGTGCTTGATCATAACATGAGAAGCACGAGACTGTAGTAGAGTCACTTTATCAACTGTGTGAACTTAAGCAACCTGTTAACTTGACTGACCACGGATCCTTATTTTAAAATGGGGGTTATCATACCTACTTCCTTGTGTTATTTTGAAGGTTAAATGTGCTTCGCACATTGCTTGGCACACGTAAATGTCTGATATTCCTAACCCTTATTCAGAGTCTGACATAGTGCTTGGGGTAAAATAAGTACTCAAAAAACATTTGCTGAAAAAAATGAGTGAATAAATGTAAGGAATTTTACATTCAATAATATCTCCATGGGATATATACAGGATCACATTTTCCTGACTGCTTCTCTCATCCTCTGTTATTTTGAAACTTGGGTGGGTGATTCCTCTCTCTTTCTTACTCCTTGATAGGAATGAGGACATCCCGAGATCTACTTTATTTAGACAGCTCCAAGCCCCAGCAGGATGAGGACTGTGGGTAGAAATGAGAGAGGTAAGTATCACCATTGTTGGGAAGGGGGATATCAATGGTTAAGGCTCAGGGTAGAATAAAAAATATAAATACTAGTTTTGATTCCCCCAAATTATAGAGGAAGGAAAGAGGCTCAGATTAGGGATACAGGGATAGCAACATTGAAAGGGAAGAAATACCAGCATGATGGAGTCTAGGAGGCTGTAGGGGGGAAAAGTATATATCAAATAAGAAAAAGGGCAGGAGTTCTGGGAAAGGACTGATGACGTGGGTGAGGGAAGGAAGAATATGCTGAAATATGTCAATGCCGCAAACTAAGGTAATAAAAAGGATCAGAGAAAGAAACTGTGGCCTGGACTAGGAACTGTTCAATTTCACAAGCAGGATGACGTCTATTCAGCCAGAAGAAGAGAAAAAGACACCAGGTCAGGGACAAAGCTGGAGAGCCCCTGTACCACAAGCAATTGCAGAGCAACGGAAGCCAGAATCCCACTTGGAGGGTGGTACTGTCAACAAAAATTAGTGACACAGGCAGCTCAACCAGTAAACTGGGGTAAAATCTTTTCAACTAAAAGGTCCTTCCCAGACCAACCCAACTCACTACCTCTCTTAGTCCCTGAAGATCAGTTCCAGTATTTCTGGTCTGGTTTTCAAAGCTAGAAGGGTTCTTTACACTGTTGTTGCTATACTCAGAGAAGTGTCTAAGGACAGGTTTAGTTTCACTTTAGGGGATCATATTCTCCCTCAATCCTGTGTGTAATGCTTCCCTGGAATCTATTTTTCCCTTTGTCTTCTCCCAGAGATAGATTTTCTCCTGAAATAGGAACTAGATTTCAGCAAGAAGCCTGTTTCCAGCCTTGGTGTTTCCCAGTGTCAGCCTGTGTTAAAAGGCAGGAAGGCCCTGTGGCTGGAACCCCTATTGCAGAGACAAAGGACTCTCCTAAATAGGGATGCGTGCTCAGTGAAGATTTTCCACTTAATAAGAGTTTACATTTCTCAGCATCTTAATTGTAAGTCTAATAATTTAACAGAATGTATAGAAAAATGCTACCAGCACTTCTGTACTTAAAATTATAGAATAAAATTGGACATTATTTGTTTAACACAAAGGAAAACTTTTCTAAATCTAGTTCACGTGCATTTGTAGATCAGTCGAGTATGGTTTATTTTGAGTTTGTGGAATTTGATGTTTTCCTAAAGGTAGTGTACGCACTGGCACCTGGAACAGTACCTGTATAACAGAGATAATGGATGTTCATAGTTTATATAGTGTGTAGCTCAAGTTGCTATCTTGAAACAAAACAGCAGCAAATAAATTTTACAAACACTTTCATTGTTGCGACTTTTATAAAGCTGAGACAAAATTACTGAGATATGTGATTTCTCTGAGGGCGGTTACTAGCTCCAGAATAACATGCTTAAATAATGTGTCCTCAGTATTCTGAACTTTTTTCCAAGATAGAGAAATATTCAGTTCACTGAACACCTCACCGTGTTTCAGTTTTTCTATTTACAAAATGAAAATTGCTATTCAAACTCACAAAAATGCTGAGAGAACTAATGAAATGCCAAGGACAGGGGGAAAAAAAAAAATGCTTACCTGACTACATGTGTGTGATTATATATTCAGTAATACATAATTAAATGTATATTTTTTATCTATATAATTAACTCATTTTTTCTTTGACTTATCAGAGATGTAAAATGAGTTTATACATTGAAATGGGACTAGCTAACCTAGATTTTATTTAATTTAATTAATTTATTTTGGTGGGGACAGGGTCTCACGCTAGGTTTTAGTTCAACAGCTCACTAGTTGTGTGACACTGGCCAAACAACTAACCATTTCTGAATCTTAATTTCCATGAGGCTCTGACATTAAAATTTATATAAAAATACTGTGTAAACAGCAAAGTATGTTATGAATGTATGTTTTGCTGGACCTGAATGGATGCAGGAGTATAAATTCATACAGTCGAAAGACATTAAGCCACAGGGGAATTTCTTTGTAGCAGACAGGTGCCTAAACTTAGATTCCAAAGATTAGAACACAGAGGTATTAAAAGTAAATAGCATAGGGCCTTATGTAGTAAATAAGAACATGAATTATATGTGTTAGAAAAATGTTAAGTATTTCCTCCTTCTACCCAAAGAACAAGCAAGGGCTTTTAAATACAAAGAGAAAAAAATAGAGTAGAAAGAAAAGGCTACCAATACTGCTTGATATGAAGCATATTCTTATACAGATACATTTCCTGGAGACATTCAGGATCATGTTAACAAAACTGGAGGAGGCAGCAGAGATGATATGGACTGGAGACACCAGTGTTTGCTTTTCATTTCCTTCCTTTAATAGAGTTGCTGGACTCTGACTCTGCCATGCACCCACTACCTTCTTCTAATATGCTACCATCTCTTTATTTTCTCTACTTCTTCCCTTTGACATCTCCCATCCCTTTGGCTCTAGCTCTTCCTACTACCATTGTAAAGTATAAACATGTATAGCCGATATATTCACATGGGAAGGTAAGTATATTACTTCTCTGGTAATATACCCATTTGACTCATATGTAGCTGCTCCAAGAATCCTAATAATCCTAAGAGACTCAAAGAAGTTAAGAGCTTTGTTCAAGGTGACATAGCCGGTGATAGAGCCAGGGTTGAAATTCAAACCTGGACGACTTCAGTGACTATATATTCCTTTCCAAAAACTGAAAGAAAGCATTTCGGGGGCATGAGGTTTGAAGTTTGGCAGGAAGCTGTGAAGAAGACAACCAAGGAAATGTTACTTGGCAGCAACTCCTTTCTTCACCTTAATTGTTTTTCTGGGATGCAAGCTCAGACAAGTACAAGGATAATGGCAGCCTAACAAAAGACCTCATTAGGCTGATGAACATGATTATTGAGGAAAGGATGAAAGCTACTCTGTGGAAGGAGAAGTCTTTATCAGAAGTTTGCTTT
This sequence comes from Homo sapiens, assembly GCF_000001405.40. Taxonomy (NCBI): domain Eukaryota; kingdom Metazoa; phylum Chordata; class Mammalia; order Primates; family Hominidae; genus Homo; species Homo sapiens. Next base: position 117,023,399 of record NC_000003.12, read on the forward strand.
GGAGTAGACCAAATCTGATCTGCAACTGGAATCATGGTGGACGGAATGAGTTCCATCCCTCATCCTCTAAAGCTGCAGCAGGCATACCACTTGTCAATCTAGTGACACTGAGCTCAGGGCTAGATTTGTATACATTGGCTTGCTGTGTTCAGGAAAACTTTTTTCTGTTCTTCAGTGTGTTCTTCCAACATATTCATAAGGAAATACAATCCATGCCTGGGTCACTTATAGAGGATGCTATTGCAGTCACCTCCTGCCTTTTTATTAACACATATCCTACCGGCAAGACATCGCCCGCCCTTCCTTCCTTCCTTCATTCCTTCCTTCCTTCCTGCCTGCCTGCCGGCCGGCCTTCCCCACTTCCCTCCCTTCTCTCCCTTCCTTCCCCCCTCCCTCTTTCCTTGCTTCCTTCCTTTCCTGCTTCCTCCCTTCCTTCTTTGCTTCATTTCTTTCTTTCTCCTTATTTCTTCCTTTACTTCCTTCCTTCCCTTCTCAAATATATATTGAGCCTCTTCTATATGCACTGTGGTAGGCACTGGTGAAGAGGTTCTGTTTAACTGTGGTTCCCATGGGCCTTTTTTTCTCCTGTGTTCTTCTTTATTATTCTTTTACACATGATTTTAAAATGAATCCTTCCAATCAAATGCTAGATTCGGTTTCTCTTTCCTCATTGTCTTTGAAAAGGATCATCCATCTACTCTTTTAAATAATAGTTTTTCCTACATGTCAAACAAGAATGTGTATGCAATAAAAGTTTTGTCCTTAACTTGGACATGGATCATTAAGGAATTTAAAGATGTACTTCATTTATTTTATCATCTCCCTAAAACTGTAAGCAAAATTTTGTTCCTGGGTGTGTAGATACTTTTTTGTTTTCTGGAAATAGATCCATAGTTTACATCAGATTTGCAAAGGGGTCTATAATCTAAAAATAGTTAAGAGCCTCTGAGCTGTTTGAATATAATGGTGATAAAATTTATAAAGTTTGTTCTTTGTATAGGCTTAACATTAGGGCTTTTTCTCATATATTATCTGATTTCCTGATTATCACAATTGTGATGAACACAAATGAAGACTATTATCACTGAGTATATCTTGATGGTACATTTTTAAAGTTTGGCCTGTCTCAACATGATATAAAAAGAATTTGGATTACTCAGAAAAAGGGACTGGTGTAAGATTTAATTTACAATGTATACCTTACTTCAAATTAACATGGTGTAAATCCTATTCAATGAAAGTCTTTTGATGCATTCACAAAGCATTAAAGCACATCTTTATGGGACTGCTTGGTGAAAAAAATGTGCTTCAAAGGAACAAAAATTAGCAATTATTTTAGCCAGCTTTGCTTGCTACAGCCCCATATACGTGATTAATAAGGGAATGGATTTATGGACATTGGTTTATTATTTAGAGCTGATGAGACTTTACATAGTAGTAGTGATACCCTTGGGGGTAATGTACCCAAATTATCCCTCTTTCTACATTTACAAAAGAGGCAGAACATTCATCATCTATTCTTGCCTTGTCGATTTAGAGGGGGGGCATAAGAAGCAACCAGTGCTTACAATCTTAGAGAATTAGCCAGCCTCAACCTAGGAAGAAACTCAGGAGTCAAATTGTCTCCTGGAGGCTGAGATGCACTTGAGCCAAGCTCCTTGTCCTTTTATCATAGGGAGATCAGACCCACTCAGCCCAAAAAAGCAGAACTGGGAATTAAGAGCTCTGTGCCCTTGAATTCTGTAAATAAAAATTGAACCCCTCGTCACATCATTTTTACATCTGAAGTGAAATTTTCATGGAAATACAAGGTTAATGATCCCAGAAACTAGATTTCAGTGTGAAATAGGCATTGGAACAGCCTTGTTACATTAGTGGCATATTGAGAAAAGAAACTGAGAACAGCTTATAGAGGAAAATAAAAAACACTGCATACTAGTCAATTCATTCATTAATTCACTAAACAAAAATTTATGTGGCCCACTCCAAGATATGTATTCAAATGAACTGAAAACCTATGTTCACACCAAAACCTTTACTCTGATGTATAGAACAGCTTTATTCATAACTGCCCCAAACTGAATATGTCCGAGGCATGTGAGCCAGAGCAACTCCATCTTAAATAGGAGCTGGGTAAAATGAGGCTGAAACCTACTGGGTTGCATTCCCAGACGGTTAAGGCATTCTAAGTCACAAGATGAGACAGGAGGTCAGCACAACATACAGGTCATAAAGACCTTGCTGATAAAACAGGTTGCAGTGAAGAAGGCGACCAAAACCAAATGGCCACGAGAGTGACCTCTGATCGTCCTTACTGCTACACTCCCACCAGCACCATGACAGTTTACAAATGCCATGGCAAAGTCAGGAAGTTACCTTTATGGTCTAAAAATGAGAGGCATGAATAATCTACCCCTTGTTTAGCACATCATCAAGAAATAACCATAAAAATGGACAACCAGGCCAGGTGCAGTGGCTCAATGCCTGTAATCACAGCACTTTGGGAGGCCGAGGCATGTGGATCACCTGAGACCAGGAGTTTGAGACCATTCTGGCCAACATGATGAAACCCCATCTCTACTAAAAATACAAAAAGTTAGCCAGGTGTGGTGGCATGCACCTGCAATGTCAGCTACTTGGGAAGCTGAGACAGGAGAAACGCCTGAACCCGGAGGCAGAGGTTGCAGTGAACCAAGATTGCACCACCGCACTCCAGCCTGGGCAACAAGAGCAAAACTCAGTCTCAAAAAAAAAAAAAAAAAAAAAGACAACCAGCAGCCCTCTCAGCTGCCCTGTCTATGGAGTGGCCATTCTTTTATTTCTTTACTTTCTTGATAAACTTGCTTTCACTTTGCACTGCGGACTTGCCCTGTATTCTTTCTTGCATGAGATCCAAGAACCCTCTCTCAGGGTCTGGATCAGGACCCCTTTCCTGTAACATATTTCTGGCTACCACGAAGGGATTCTAGTCCAGAAACCCTGACCCAACAGCTACCTTTGGGTAAGTGTTGGGGTCCTGTAACATCTTTCTGGTGACCACAGAAGTAACTGTACTGCAGAAACCCCCAAACCAAAGGCTAACTTTGGGTAAGTGGTGGGGTCCGGTAACATCTTTCTCGCCCCACGGCTGCTCTGAAAAGCCATCTTTGCCTTGTTCCTCGTTCGCCTCCTTGTTCGCAGCAGCAGCCTCCGCCGCGCGCCTCCTCAGCCGCCGCGGACTCCGGCAGCTTTATCGCCAGAGTCCCTGAACTCTCGCTGTCTTTTTAATCCCCTGCATCGAATCACCGGCATGCCCCACCATGTCAGACGCAGCTGTAGACAGGAGCTCCGAAATCGCCACCAAGGACTTAAAGGAGAAGAAGGAAGTTGTGGAATAGGCAGAAAATGGAAAAGACGCCCCTGCTAACGGGAATGCTAATGAGGAAAATGGGGAGCAGGAGGCTGACAATGAGGTAGATGAAAAAGTGGAAGAAGGTGGGGAGGAAGAGGAGGAGGAAGAAGAAAGTGATGGTGAGGAAGAGGATGGAGATGAAGATGAGGAAGATGAGGAAGCTGAGTCAGCTACGGGCAAGCAGGCAGCTGAAGATGATGAAGATGACGATGTCAATACCAGGAAGCAGAAGACCGACGAGGATGACTAGACAGCAAAAAAGGAAAAGGTAAATTAATAAAAAAGGCCACCATGACCTATTCACCCTCCACTTCCCGTCTCAGAATCTAAACGTGGTCATCGAGTAGAGAGGCTCCACGCGCAGGTGACACGCGCTGTCCACCACTCGACCCAAACCATGAGAATTTGCAACAGGGGAGGAAAAAAGAATCAAAACTTCCAAGGCCCTGCTTTTTTTCTTAAAAGTACTTTAAAAAGGAAATTTGTTTGTATTTTTTATTTACATTTTATATTTTTGTACATATAGTTAGGGTCAGCCATTTTTAATGATCTCGGATGACCAAACCAGCCTTCAGAGTGTTCTCTGTCCTACTTCTGACTTTACTTGTGGTGAGACCATGTTCACTATAATCTCAAAGGAGAAATAAACCTTGTTAAAAAAGCAAAAACGACAACAGAAAAACAATCTTATTCTGAGCATTCCAGTAACTTTTTTGTGTATGTACTTAGCTGTACTACAAGTAGTTGGTTTGTATGAGATGGTTAAAAAGGCCAAAGATAAAAGGTTTCTTTTTTTTCCTTTTTTGTCTATGAAGTTGCTGTTATTTATTTATTTATTTATTTTGGCCTGTTTGATGCATGTGTGAAACAATGTTGTCCAACAATAAACAGGAATTTTGTTTTGCTGAGTTGTTCTAAAAACAAACAAACAAAAAAAAACAAAACATCTTTCTCATGAAGCACAAAAGGGACAATACGGAGGAGACCCACCCCCCAACCCAAAAGAAATAGACTTCAGCGCTGATTGAACAACTTTGGGTAAGTGGTGGGGTACCAGGGTAAAGAATGAGATTAGGTTAAAGGCCTAACTTAGGGGAGCTAGCGTCTCTCCTAAGACAAAGTAGGTTAGAGGCACCTCTTAATAAAAGGCAAGAACACTTGACCCACCTCGGGTTAGAGGCCCGACTTAGGAAGGTTAGAGTCCCTTGTAAAGATTTAGGGGGTTAGAGGCCTCTCTGGGTAAAGTCTCTCTTGACTAAGAACAGGTTACTGCTAATTAATCTGCCTTGCACTCTTTGCTGATGGCTGCGGGTGACAGGGTTAGGCATGTACAGGATCGTGGGACATGGGGAACTTTTTCCTTCATAAAACGGAAAATGAGAGCTAACGAGACTGCTGAAAAAGATCCCTTTGCTACCGAGAAGCAGCCACCTGAACTTTTCAGTGTTGCTGCAATGAGTGGGTCTTTTCTCTGGCTTCCCTATACCATTCACCTTCCCCACCCTGCCACAGGCAATACTTTCCTTCTCTCCTTTCCCTTTTCTTATCTTCTCTGTTACTCAGGGTGACCATCTTGCCTAGAGACCACATGTTGAAACTCCTAGTCGGAGATTAAAGATGACAGGGCCCATGTGAGGGTAAATTTAAGCCTTGCCAGTTTGACATTGGGTGCTAAGCAGAGTGACTAATGTGTATGTTTTATCACATGTATTTTGCTCTAGCCAGAACAAAAAAAAAAATACTTTTCCTTTATGATACGGCTTGACCCCCAGGGTCATGGTGCCGCAAGCTGGATCACTAGGGCCAGTCAGGGAAAGGCAACCCAGAATCCTGGCATGCAGGCAAAAGGGTAAGAATTTCTTACCAGTTAGATTTCTGTTTTCTCTCTGTGTGCAAATGGTTGAATGGATGGAAAAAATAAATAAATATCTATCTATATATATATAGATATCTGTTTATCTCCTCTGTAAAGTTTTGTTTAATGGGAAAAAGAATTCTAAGGCTAGCCTTAAGCTGCTGTATTTTGTGCTATGAATTTGTTCTTCTGTAGAATAAAACATGGACTTAGAACACTTGTAAGCCCACTTTTCAAGATGACCCAGCAAGCCGATTAGTAACAAACTTGGCTGCAGGTCCCTGAAACAAACAAAAAACTGGATAAAGTCTCCATGTTGTTTATGTCCTTGGGAGCTTGACCTTTTAACCACGTGGCAGTACTTTCTCTTAGTCTCTGCCATCCAGGTAACAGGAATTTTAGTCTTCATGTCATAGTTAGCTCTAAAAATCATATTAAATAGTTAAAAGGCTTTGCAAGCTCAAAATTAACTACTCTAGAGTTCTTCTGGGAAAGAAAATGGGGACTGCCCCATCCTGTAGCTCAGTAGCTAAGATTTTTGCACTTTCACAGTAGCTGTCTGGGTTCAATTCCCCACCTAGGAAGTAAGTCGTTTCTGGTTTAATATCTGTGTGACCTTGTCTATTCTTTTCTCCATGGACTGCCTTAAATTTTCCTTTCTGTAAGCACCTAGGAGGTCACCTTTGGTAATGTTCAGAAGCTAGAAATATTGGCCACTTGGCATGGCTAAAGTTGGGTAATAAGAGATCTAAAAGGATTTCTTTTTTAAAGAGCACTATGGTTAAAAGTCAGCTTAATTAAAAGTGGATAAACAAGCTATAGATATATCTAAAAGGCCTTTATGCTTTTCTCTTCTTGGAACTTGTTTTTCTGGAAAAAAGGTTTTTTCTTCTCAGTTGACTGAATGATTTTTCTCCATTTTTTTTTGTCTTGCCACTCTTAATACACACATGAGAGTCCCTAAGATAACTTCTGGTAGCCTGGGACTCCTTGGGAAAAACAGAAGAGGCACCACAGACCCAGTTTTAGGGAAAAAACAAAACAACAACAACAAAAAACCTTTTTTTCCCCTCATGAAATCCCAGGAATTAAAAGCAAATAGATCCCTCTCAAAATCAAAGGCTCTGTTCTGCTTTTTGCATCCTTTGCATCGCGTTATCTGAGTTTGGGGGGTATCAGAAATTACTTCACATTATGAGAGTGCTTTGGTTTGTAATACCTAGGTAGGAAATATACTTTAAGTGATAGCTAATAGTAGTTATGGAGGGATACTTGACTCTTTGACTCTTTGCACTCTTGGATCAGAGAAGCATGTTCTTGGCCACCTGGAAGATAAGGAACCATCCCCAGCCCCCACTGAAAGGTAAGACTCCCATGAGGGATGGGCTGACTACTAAACCGGCTGATTGGCTTTGGCTTGCCTTGCACTGAAATGCAAAGTAAAAGCGCTGCACTGTCTTCTCCCGTAGTGTTTCCCTCCTTTTGGGGATCCAGGAGCCAGTAAAAAAAAATGGCGCTCTTAATTTTGGGGATCTTTGCCTTCAGCTGCTTATTTGCTGCTTATTTTGCCCTAGAAACACATGCTTTTCTGGCCCTGTTCTTGCAAGGGCTCCACCCTGAAGCCAGTAATGCAATTAAGAAACTGGCAAGTAAAAAATTGTACAAGTGCTGAATTTTCTGTCTGTCTGTGTATTTATATGTTGTTGTATGTTTATATATAAAAGAGCTCTAATTGTCTTAGAAAAATAAGTGCTTAAATCAAATATTTTGCCAGAAAAATAGAAAATGTAATGCCTTTTTGTTCACGTGACTTTAGTAATCTTTTGGAAATAAAGACAGTTTTAAAGATTGTTGGTAAAATAAAAAGTCTTGAAAATGTAGACATTAGGTCTAAATTAAGGTCAGATATCAGATTTGTGGAATGCTTTAAGGTCAAACTGTTTTCTCTGACTATAAAAAATTGTTCAGTTTACCTACCTTTAAGCCATTAGATTCTAGATAAGGCATGGGGATATGTGAAATTAGCCATGTCCCCTACCTATACAAAGAAAAATATAAAGAAAGAGATTTTATATAAGAAAGGATCTTGCATGGTAAATTCTTGTCCTAAAGTAAAATGACTGGTTGTTTAAAAGGAGGGATGTTTAAGGCAAGTCAGGAAGTCCAAGAATATCTCAGATGGTCTGTGTAAGTCATAAAAGGATTTGTGAAAGGGAATTTATGCAAGAAATGTTGTACAATTCAAAAGTCGTTAGGCCTCCCAAATGCTTTATAAAATGCCACTATAACTCTTGCTGTGCAACTTGCCTGCTTAAGTAAGGCAAGGCCAGGGGACATGTGGAGTTAGCCATGCCCCTTAGCTATGCTGTAGAGTCAGCTCTAATCTGCACTGCTGCCTGGTGTGTCCTAGGCGAGGCTCCACAACTAGTACACAATTAAAATTACTTACTAACCAGGGTTTTCACCATAAGTAAAAGTCACTAAAAGTTAACATGTAATATGTAATTGAGACTACTGAAGAAACAATTTTACATGTAAGGTGTGTAAGAAAAGTAAAATGTATTTTTTGTAAAAGATTATAAGAAGACATGGGAATGTGGATTTTTTTCCCTAAAGGGTTGAAGAGTTATTTTAAATTAGATGGAATAAAGTTGAAAGTTTGAACTGTTGTGGAAGGTTTATAAAAATTAATTGTAAGAGATTCTGTGTGTGAACATAATGGCTAAAGTTAGAGGGGTATTATTCAGTTTTTCTATAAATTAAACTTTGGAATAATAGCACAGCAGGTTTTTCTTAGAGCACTGATCTGCTCTTTCACAAAAAAAAAATGTAAAGGGTTATAAAAGGTTTATAAGAATCTTACCTTAAGGTTAAACATTGAAATGGGTAAATATGTCTATAATGTTTTATTAAAAATTGGGTTTGACATCAATAATGCACTAATGCAACAGTGACATTTGGCTTATTTGGTATGAAAATCATACAGGAAGCATTATCAAATATGAAATGTTATTTGGTTTTCTTTAGGCTGTATTTGTATAAATATGTTATTAGTAAGTGTTCTAAAATAATAAGAAAGTCCTATAATTCTAATGACTTAGTGTAGGTTTTTAATAATTATAATTGTTTCATAAAATCATTCTATGCCACAAAGTTAACCACATTTCTTTGTCAATCATGTTTTTGACTGTGGCTGTCCTAAGATGTTTTGCCATCCACAGACAATTGTTGTCTTGTTTTAATCCTCTTCAAAAGGTGGTTCATAATCAACTATAGAACTCTAACAGGTGTTCTTAAATGCAGGTTTCTAATAACTTTGGAAATTGTAACATTAGAACAGAAGAAACAACTTTCAGAACTCTCATGAAGAGCTGGAATGTTCATGAATATCAAATAGATAGGAATTAACTGAATTAACTGAACCAATAGAAAACGGAAGTAATCTTTTTAGCTTTGCTTAAAATGCTGCTGATCCTTTGTTTTGTTTTTCAGAGGCAAGGAAACTTTTCTTTTGAGCTATTTACAGCTTGTAGCAATTAAGTATACTCCTGTGAACAAAATTTGGAGCATATTTGTTTCTCTCTACCTGATTTCTCCAGAATTTGGAAACTAGTTGTGAGTTTTCTTAACTTATGGCAATATAGTTATTTGCATAAGTTCAATAAGAATCTGTTTTATTTTGTAATGGACACAATTAGAGAAATTGGTTATTTTGACAAGGCTCTGACTGGAATGGTGTGTTTTCCTTTAAGGAATTAAACTTGACTTATAAAGCCAATAAAAGCCCCTTGGGGAACTGGCCTCATACCTTGCCTACACAGTCCCTGTACAGGGTTTCTGATCTGTGGTGAGTAAAGAATGTATGTCACTTTCTGACAGGTCCAGAATCCCCAAGTTATCTTGGGACCTCAAGAGGAAAAAATTTACCCAACTCATAGATATTTGAGGGTTAAACACCCATGGCTGGGCTCGGCTTTAAAAAAGTCTTATCTGAAATTCCTTCTATGGAACAGAGTTCCATCAAAGCCAATTTAAAAATAGCTTATGTGGAAAATAATTATTCTTGCTGCACTTTATACAAATTATCAGGCCAAGTATAATAAAGCAAATTGGTCTTACTATGATTTGTCTTTAGTAAAAATGGGAAAGTGGAGAGAGAAATATTATATTTCAAGAACCATGGTACACTTATTAAATTCTAGTCTCATTAGTTGTTTTTACATTTGTTTCTGCAATTTAGGCTAACCCTGCTTATTCCTGTGAACCACATAATGATCTCTGACTGTTGCTCAGAAGAAACAAGAGGGATGGGTAATGTAAAAATCTGGATCAGTATTCTAATTCTGGGCACATTACAATAGCTAATAACCCCATATCAGCTTAGTTCCAACAGTTGCCCAGTTCATGAAAAGCCTTCTAACTCAGTTTACTTGGAATAACTTTACTTATTTTGCTTTACTCTTGTGAATATATTGCTGTTATAGTCTTTGTGCAGGAATATAGAACAAGCTTACTGAATGTTTTCTTAAACTAAACACTTATTAATCTTCCAGATATCACCTCTTGTCAAAACTTGAGAGTCACAAATGGCCCTCTCCACACTGATATTTTCTGACTGAGCTCCTCTCTACCCTGAACACAAGAGACCCTGATAGTTAGGCAGAAATATCATCACCCCATTCAACCCGAAGAAGTTATGGAAGATGGATTTTCATCCCTCTGCAACCCTTAGAATTAAGGGTTCCCTTATAAAAGGGAGGAGGTAAATGTCAGAGACATGTGAACCAGAGCAACTCCATCTTGTTATTTGTTTTTGTTTGTTTGTTTGTTTTTTGAGACAGAGTCTTGCTCTGTCACCCAGGCTAGAGTGCAGTGGCACAATCTTGGCTCACTGCAACCTCTACCTCCCGGGTTCAAGTGATTTTACCACTTCAGCCTCCCGAGTAGCTAGGATCACAGATGTTCGCTACCACACCAGGCTAATTTTTTGTTTGTATTTTTAGTAGAGATGTGGTTTCACCACATTGACCAGGCTGGTCTAGAACTCCTGACCTCAGGTGATCCGCCTGCCTCAGCCTCCCAAAGTGATGGGATTACAGGCGTGAGCCACAGCACCCAGCCACAACTCCATCTTAAATAGGAGCTGGGTAAAATGAGGCTGAAACCCACTGGACTGCATTCCCAGATGGTTAAGGCATTCTAAGTCACAGGATGAGATAAGAGGTCACCACAAAATACAGGTCATAAAGACCTTGCTGATAATACAGGTTGCAGTGAAGGAGATGGCCAAAACCCTCCAAAACCAAAATGGCTATGAGAGTGACCTCTGGTAGTCCTCCCTGCTACACTCCCACCAGCACCATGACAGTTTACAAATGCCATGGCAACATCAAGAAGTTAGCCTATATAGTCTAAAAAGGTGAGGCATGAAGAATCCACCCCTTGTTTAGCATATCATCAAGAAGTAACCATAAAAATGGGCAACCAGCAGCCCTCAGGGCTGCTCTATGGAATAGCCATTCTTTTATTCCTTTACTTTTTTAACAAACTTGCTTTCACTTTGCACTGTGGACTTGCCCTGAATTCTTTCTTGCACGAGATCCAAGAACCCTCTTCCGGGGTCAGGGTTGGGATTCCCTTCCTGTAACAAATGTACTTCTGAATGTACTCTACTGGGGGATGGGTAAATACATTGTACTATATCTGTACAATGGGATATTACTTGGTAATAAAAATGAACAAAGTACTGATACATGCTACAACATGGATGGATCTCAAATGCATTACACTAATTGAATAAGCCAGACATGAAGCTCTAATATTGTGTTACTCCGTTTATATAACATTCTGACAAAGGAAAACTATAGGGACAGAGACAAATTAGTAATTGTCAGGGGGTAAAGGCTTAACTGAAAAAGGCTAGCACCTGTGTGTGTGGTGTGTGTGTGTGTGTGTGTGTTGTGTATGTGTGTGCATATGGGTTGACAGAAATATTCTGTATTTTGATTGTAGTGGTGTTATACTACTCCGTATTTATCAAAACACACGGAACTTGATACCAAAAACACACAATTTATTGCATCCATATTAAAAAATAAATCTGAATAAGGTAGCAATAAAATATTCTAAGTTCAAAAACAATTTTAGTTGATATTTCATACTTCTTGGACTCCTTGAGAAGTTTGGAGATGAAAAAGCAAACAAAACAAAAGTAAAATACAAAAATCTTTTTCCTCGACCTTAAATTTCACAATCTAATGAACAAGATAAACTTGAAGGGAAAAATATAAAAAGCTTTATGTTGAGATAAAAATATAAAAAGCTACCTCTAGAAGAGGTAGCACAATCTCAACATAAAGGTATGCACAATCTAAAGTACGTGAAAGATCAATTATTACTGGAATAGGTGTTCCCTTCCGGGTCAATTTTACCTAACATACATTCTTATAGTGGTTAACTTTTGCTGCTAAAACAAAACCAGCTCCCCAAAAGTAAAAGCAGCTGGGGTTCCCATGGCTGCCTCAATGGCTCTCCATCCTAAGGTACAGCGTGAGGCTAGGGGTGCTGTAGCCCCTCTCCTCTTCCACTTCATTATCCGAACCACTGTTATTCAGCAAGGTGTGGCCTCTAACCCTGCCATTCTGTCTCTTTTCCCTATAGCTGTACTGATTCCACAGTGGATAAGACATTCTCCTCTCAAGAACTCATGGTTTTGGGGTGTGTCAGTGGGATATCAAGTAAAGTGAACAGCTTTTGGAGACCACAAAAGGGGCAAGGTTTATTTCTTTATCTATGATGGATATATAGATTTGATAGTTTTTAAAAATGGCTAAACTGAACTACTCGTGAGCTTTTTTTTCCATTTTTCCCATCCCCTGGGAGCCCACTGAGCAGCTCCCTCCCTGCCTTATCTCACCAGCTATAATAATGAGCTCCAGGGGGACCTTGCTACTGCCTTTGAAGTAACACATTTCTCTGAATGTCTTTGAAATTTCTCTTCGTACATTGTTTGTTTCTGGTTTACTCTGTCTTCTTGTAGAGGGGGGTCTGACAGTTGTTGCAGGGAGGGGGAGGTCCAGGATGACAGCTCAGGAATGTGTAAATTGAACAAAACAAAAACACAAACAAAACAAAATAAGAAAGAAAGAGAGGAAGAAAAAAAAGACTTCCCCACCCACTGCCAGAGCAGGAATGTAAGCACTTTCACTGGAGTTGCTGAAGCATCTTGCAGGCTGCAGGCAGAGAATGACAGCCAAGGACAGATGCAGCTGGGATGCCTGAAGCTGTCACAGAGGAAGTGGCCTGCTGGAGACAGGTTCTAGGGAGAGCAGAGGGACAAGCCCAGGGGAGGAGCAGAGAGGCAGAGCAGGAGAGGGACTCTGCCCTCTACTCCACTCCCCAGGATTTTAAAAGCATAAGAATCCTGAGGCTGAAATAGTTTAGGCTCCCCACATGCCAAGCAGAGAATACACAGCACATCTGTTTTGATGTGTATACTTTCTACATGGAAAGACCTAAAAAAATTTTTGAAAGTTCAGGAGAGGGGAGATTAGATTTAGCATTCAGGAGACCCAAAAGGTTATAAAATGCAGGAAGAAACCTGGTAGAACCTTGATTTAGCCATCTACTAACACTCAGGATGAAAGAATTAAATTTCACTCTACGGGGAATTAATCAGCCACTATCTCCAGTTGATTAGATTGCAACTTGATGGTGCAGTAGTGGGAATATAAAGAAAACCAGATTGCATTGGCTCTTGAAACATGAAGAGGGCAATCCCCTCCCCGGAAATCCAGTGTGTAATAAAAAAAACAGACTGACAAAGTCAGCGCAATGTTATTTGGCTTTATTTTCATAAAAATACTTGTCTGAGGAGACCATTAGATTTGGAAATGAGGGTTAGAGGTCAGGGGCCCTCAGGGAAACTTGTGATGCTCTAGCAGAGTAGCAGAAGGCAGAGTGCAACTTCCCCAGTTGAAAGGACACTGGGAGTTTTTACTTCTGCTTTTCTGGGCTCCTTCGGAACATTTGCCTGTGCTTTTATAATTACATCTCTGACTCATATCTGAACTTGGATTCCTGACTTCCCTCATCCTTGCCCTACACACTTAATTAAATTGTATAATCATCCTTGACTCTTCTAACTTCTCCTTCTTGCCCTTCTGACCCAGTCAGTCTCCAAGTCTTTATTTTTCTTTTGTGAGGTTTTTTTTTTTTGTTTTTTGTTTTTTGTTTTTGCTATCACTTCAAGTCCCTATCACCACCTATTTAAACTCTGTCAACACCCTTTAAATGTTCTCTCCCTAGCTCCCTCCTACCATTTACCCCTCCTCAATGTAGCTGGGGGAGCATTTTCAGTTGTGTTCTTTTGCCTCCCCCTCCCCATCTGAAGGTCAGGTCCATGTTTACACCCTTCTTTTTATTAGACCAGGGATCATGGATTACAGCTGAGAATTTCTAAAGTCTCATTAGGGTGGAGACCAGAGAACAAAAACAGATTTTTTTTAGCTCACATGGAATATTCACAAAAATTAAATTTGTAACAATTACAGAGAGAAAGGCTCAAACAATTCCAATGAATCAACATCAGAATATGTTCCCTAACTCTACTGAAATAAAGTTAGAAAAACAATAATTTTAAAAAGAGCCAAAAATGTTACCTAGTCCTGAAACTAAAAAGCCTGCTATTAAATTACCCTTGGGCTTAAGCAGAAATCATAAGAGAAATTATAAGATACTTAGAATTGAATGACAACAATATCTCTGCATATAAAATCATGCAGGGCACAACTAAAGCAGAAATCAGAGGAAAATGTATAACTTTAAATACACTGACCAGAAAGTATAAAGACATTGAAATAAAATGAGCCATGAATTCTATTAGATTCATTGAAAGAGAAGAACAGACCAAACTGAAATAAAGAGATAATTATTAATAAAGTAGGCAGAAATCAAGAAACATTGAACAAAAATACAGTAATGAGTATGATTAAAAGCTAAAGCTACTTTGTTTAGGACTAAACAAATATCCAATAAGAGTGAGGAAAGAAAAAAGACAATATTTTCTTTCTTTTCTTTTTTTTTTTTTTTTTTTGAGACAAGGTATCACTTTGTTGCCCAGGCTGAAGTGCAATGGCATGATCTCAGCTCACTGCAACCTCCGCCTCCTGGGTTCGAGCGATTCTTGTGTTTCAGCCTCCAGAGTAGCTGGGATTACAAGTATGCACCACAACATCTGGTTAATTTTTGTATTTTTTGGTAGAGATGGGGGGGTTTCACCATATTGACCAGGCTGGTCTCGAACTCCTGACCTCAAGTGATCCACCCACTTCAGCCTCCCAAAGTCCTGTGATAACAGGCATAAGCCACTGCGCCTGGCCCCTGACAATATTTTCAATTATATGAAATACAAAATGAAAATTTAGACATAGCCAGAAATAGCACAGCAATTAAGAAAAGAAAAAAAAATACTACAACCAACTATTCACTAATACGTGTGAAAACACAGATGAGCTATCTATCTGAAAAAATATATAAATTACCGTGGCTGATTATTCTTTCTATAAACATTCACAACTGCTTCCAGAAGCTTGCCACTCCTCCATGGAAGCAAAGTCTATTTCCACTCCTTTGAACCTGGGCAGGTATGTGCCTGATCTGAAGAGTAGAATGTGGCTATAGATAGCTATGGGAATTCCCATGCTGGGTCTTTCTCTTGCTCTGAGAAAACCACCATCATGTTGGAAGTCAAACTAGCTGATTTAGGAAGAATACATGGAAAAACCAGATGGAGAGGCCCGCAGGGAAAAGAACAGAGGCCTTAGCTGAAAGCTGGCATCTATAGTCAAATATGTGAATAAACGAGCCTTTGGCTAATTTCAGCCCCTAGTCTTCAATTCTTCCAGCTAAGGAGCATCATCATTCAGGGACAAGCCATCCCACCATAATCCTGTCTGAACTCTTTACCCACGGAATCTTTGAGGGAAAAATAATTATTTTTCACCCCTGTTTGGGGGTAATTGGTTACACGGCTATAGTAATTGGAACAATTGCCAAACCTGGCACAAAATTAGAAAATAGAGTTGATCAATAACCATTCAAAAACTTCAAGTGACAATTGAAAGCAACTTGCTACCTCCAAGCAAATCCCAGAGCCAGAGAATTTTACAAGAAAATAAAAACTTGGAACAAAACCTTATTCTTGTCCTACACAATTGTTCAAAGATATAGAAAACAAAACAAAATTCTAGCTCTAAAGATTTT